>NC_000007.14:151731107-151882622 GCF_000001405.40 Homo sapiens | reverse complement strand
CCCAAAGGCATTTCCTAAAGAGTCTTCAGCAAAGTTCTTAAAAGCAGAGGGGCCACATATTTTATGTTTTCCTAGAGGGCACAGCCAATTAATACTCACGGGCAGAAGTGAAATGAATGCCAGCGGATTCCAGCAACTAGGTTTCTGTTCCCTTCATCTGTAAAGTGGATGTGATCGTTCTCTTCAGGGATTTTAGTGGAAATTAGGGTGAGATAGTTAATATGAAGTACCTAACATGGTGCCTGGCATGTTATTAGTGATCAAAAAGTTCCTTTCTTCTTTGCAATGTGGAATCCACTGTCACTGAGGTTGGGAACTCATCAGACACAGACATCCATCTCCTGATTACAGAGGAAGCTTCTAACTGCTACATTCTAAGCACCCAGAGTAAGCTTGGACTTCAAACCCATGAGGACACCCCCAATTCTAAGACTGTCTATACTATATAAAGATGACTCATGGTTTTCAAAGTCATTTTTATTTATATGGAATAACAGGCCAAATTAAAAAAAAAAAAAAGCATGGGTGGGCGTAAGGGAACACGTAAGTTTGGAAAACCAGATTAAGTGAAATTAAATAGCCAGTGTCCCCTTCATAAGCTCTGATCAAGGATTTCCTTTACGTTAACTCTCCTACTGTGGGTATTTCACTTCTCAGCGGGTTGTAGGCCCTGGACCTGGGTGCAGCATTTTAAATTATCACCTCTGAATGAAATGTTGCCTGGCTGGGGAAGAGGTGGCTCACCCTGGCAGGCCAGTGTGTTGACCAGGATCCCTGAGAGCTGACAGCATTCAGAAATGGGTACCCCAAGTATTTGCAGGTGATGTTGGTCTAGGATACTAATATAGTGGGACAGCAACGACACAAACACATGTGTGGTATAAAATGTGCCAATCATATCTGCTCCCCCATTCAATGTGCTAACATGTGTATGAGCCCTTGGCACTGTCACATAATAGAAGCTGCATGTTTTTAACCCTCATGCTCACCAGCCTGGGCCAATGATGCCCCCAACGGGAAGCAGCCTCAGTGATAGGGTTTGGCTGTGTCCCCACCCAAATCTCATCTTGAATTGTAGCTCCCATAATTCCCATGTGTTGTGGGAGGAATCATGGGGGTGGGTCTTTCCCATGCTGTTCTCGTGATAGTGAATAAGTCTCACGAGATCTGATGGTTTTATAAATGGGAGTTCCCCTGCACACTCTCTCTTTCCTGCTGTCATGTAAGACGTGTCTTTCCTTCTCCTTGCTTTTCACCATGATTGTGAGGCCTCCCCAGCCATGTGGAACTGTGAGTCAATTAAACCTCTTTCCTTTATAAATTACCCAGTCTAAGGTATGTCTTTACTAGCAGCATGGGAACAGACTGATACACTCAATATGCCCCTTTCTCCAACAAGCTATCCCAAACCATCTGTAGGAAGGGCCTTGGGTGGTTTTTTAGTTGTTTCTGTTTGTTTTTAATTTCCAACTTACTGTGGAATGATACTTTGTAAAATTCAATAAAAAATAAATTACTAGAGCAATACAATTAACAAAGACATACCAAATACAATCAGGACAAAAATACAAGCTCCCTTAAAGAGGCCACAGAAATATTCTGAAGACCATCCCACTTCTCTTACAGATGGGGAACTAAGGGACCTGCCCCCATTGCATAGCTGGTCAGAGGCAGCTCCTCTGGCTGAAGCAAGCTGGGTGCTTTGGCCTAAGCCCTAGCCCTGACCCCAGCCCCAGATCCAGCCCCAGCCCCTGCCCCGGCTCCAGCCCCAGCCCCAGCCCCAGCCCCAGCTCCAGGCCTGGCCAAGTTCTCCTTCTCATCCTTCTCGGAAGACGAGGGGGAGGTGAATGAGGCATTGGCCTCAGGTGCAAAATTTAAGGGGGTGCCAAAAACTCAGTCACCAAGATAAAGAATATGTAATGCAATATATTTCTAAACATTAGAATTTTACACAAAGACAGGATCAGTAACAGTGCTGAGCCGAGCAATATTGGCACCGGAGGCAAAAGGCAGAATCAGTGACATTGTCAGAGCCTTACTTAAAGTTTTGGCCTTTTGTTCAGCACAGATTTTACTGCATTAATGTTGAGAAGGAGGTCATAGGTAGGGCATAGAGAAAGAGTGAATGTCAGGGGTCATTATATGAACAACGTCGCGTGGGCCCGCGACATTTAGCTCCTGGCTAAAATAACTGTGTGCACACCAACGGGAGGGGAAGACGGGGGTTTTCAGAAAACACCTCAAATCAAAACAATTACTGTGTTCCTTCCACTCTGAGACTCCACCAGTCAGAAGATATGTGATCAATTTGTTAATGTATCTCTAGAAGGAAAAAAATGGCAGGTAAACTTCTTCTGACATCATCTATAAGCAACCCCCATAATTCAGAAATATTCATATATAGAACCCTGAAGGGAAAAATCCCAAATTGTTTTTTCCTCTGCTCTCACGCTACGACAATCATCAACGCGGAAGGTTCGTGTCACCATATGTGTGTGTTGGGGGTTCTCCCCACTGCCAAGCAAGCAATCAGTTCCGCAGGAGACACCAGGGTGTCTTCCAACTCATTTCTGACACTGTCTACCTGGAGATAGTGGCAGATCCCACAGGTTGAGGGCTCAATCCCCAAGGCACCCCACCCCCATCCCACTTCGCACAGCAGTTGCAAGTCCAGGCATCCGGAGCTTCTGACCGACAGGCTGGGCTCTCAATTGGGGTTCCCACAACCCCCTCTCAGGTTCATTAATTTGCTAGAGTGGAACACAGAACTCAGGGAAATGTACATTTACTGGTTTATTATAACGCATATTACCAAGAACACAGATGATGGGATGTACAGGGAGAACAGGCACGGAGTTTCCATGCCCTTCCCAGGCACCCCGTCTTCCAGCAGCCTCCACATGTCCAGGGATCCAGAAGCCCCCAAACCCAGACCTCTTGGGCTTCTTAAGGAGACTTCATTGGACAGACACGATTGACGACCATGCAGAAATGTGATCGAACAAAAAGGTATGATCCAATAGTGACTGAGTAAGTGTGGACACCCAAACAAGTCCTGCCTATTCCGACCGTTATTGGCCTTTCCGTGCAGGATTTCTTCCTCTCGGGAATGGGGCAGGACCCCTTCTGAATAGAGGGTCTTAAGTCCCACAATCAGAAAGATGAGGGAGGATTAGAGTCCTGCCTTGGGCTGGTGAGGTGGTGAAGGAGGGCAGGGGAAGTTCAGAGGAGATTGTTTCCTGGGGTGTCTGAGGCCTAAAGCGCCCCAACATTATAACAAGAGACTGTGATGAGGGCGACGAGAGTGCTAAGCCAGGAACCCTGGACAAAACCCAGAATTTATACCTCGTCATATCACAAGGACCAAAAAAATTAAAAATTAAAAAAAGGCTCTTAAAATGCAGGCAATACAGTAAAATGTTTTAATGTAGGAAGCACTAAAGTCTTTGTTCCAACAAAATTAACTCAGAGAACAAATTATTTTACATATGTATACAGATCAATCAACAAAAGTACACATTATAACAATTGCTAAACACTGTCCATAAAGAAAACATTTCAAATGAGAAGCGCCATCGCGGTTTTCTCCTTCTGGGTCACCCAGTGGAATGAGGGCCCTCGCCAGGGGCTCTTCCCAGACGTCTCTTCACACCAACCGGCTTCCTTCTGATGGCCCCATTTTCCTTTAAAACCAGTTCTCATCAAATAGGGTGTTTTATGCACCCTGGCAAATGATCATTTTGACAAGGATTAAAACTGTAAGCTAAACAGATGACACAAATGACAATTGGGAATAATTTTTAGTGGGGACAGAGGCTAAATACTACCCCCTCCCCTTTTCTACTTCTAACCAATATCTTGAGCATTCAGTGGGACAATACAGTCTTGCTGGGTCTCTTGAAATCCTCTAGCAAGAAGCCAGCCAGGAGAAGACCCAGAAGTCCCACACCTGTGGGGCCAGGATGGCTGCTTGGTTGCTAAACCCAGACAGGGTCCTTCCAGTGCATCTGCCCCTGTCAGGCTCTGTCTCGAGACTGGGGATCTTCCAGGCTGGCTTCATTCTGGACCAGAGAGCAGAGGAGAAGGAGAAAGAATATAAACCCACCCCTATGAGCCAGGGAACCACCCAAGCTGTAAGGATTTTGTGCAAGCTGCTGGAACTCGGGTTGGAAAAGCCACCCGGCAAGCAGCTGAAAGGAAGGATGCTTCTCCCTGCGTGGGCGCACGCCTGCTTCCTAAGAGATGATCCTTTGGGTGGGCTGATCATGCCTCCTCCTCTGGGGAGGGAGTCCTGCGAAAGCACGCACCTCAAAAGGAGTAAAGGCCCTATGGTGTCCCCAAAGCGACCCCTGTCGCGTTCTTTCTGCGGGTGGCCTCCCTGCATTACTGATTACTCGGAGCGGCTGAGCTGACGTCAGCATTCTGGGAGCGCCAATGACCTTTGGGGTCATCACATCCTCAGAAACTAGAGCAGGAGGGGAAGCGACCCCCAAGCCAGCACTCCCCCTACTTTCCACCAGGGAGCCGAGGTCGCGCCATCCTGGGGCGCATCTGGGGGTGGGGGACACACCAGCCCCCTCCCCCAACCCCTCTAGGGCCCTCGGCAGCAGGCGGTACTGGATGCCCACCCGGGGCTCTAAAGGACCTGGGCCGCACCGGGAACCCTCGCCCGGGTCTTCGAGCCCTCCCCTTCTCCCAATTCTTTCCGCAGTCTCAGGAGCCCCACGTTTCCCGCGGCGTGGGGACACGCACTTACCGCGGATCCACTGCGCAAACCTTGATGAACCTGAAAAAAGCAGGGTGGGGTGGGGTGGGGTGAGGGTGGGGGTGGCTAGACCCTGCTCGCACCCAGCGCCACGCACCGCTCTCTGGGCGGGTTCGAGTGCGCGCGCCGGGCGGGGCGGGACCCGGGGGCTGCGGTGTTTCGAGAAGCACGTGCTACTTCGCGCGCAGCGCCCCCGGAGACTGTGGGCTTCCTCGCTGCCTGGTCTACGGCAGGGCGGGCGCGGGGGCGTGTTTCAAAGGGTAGGGCACACAGTGAGACGCCGGGAGGCGGGATGGATCCGAAACCAGCTCGCAGCGAGTCCCAAGCGGCTGCGGCCGCCGCAGGGGTCTGGGCGCGGCGACGAGGGCGGCGTGGGGCGACGGGGAGCGGGACGGTGGCGCTGCACGCCGCGCACTTCCTGTTCAACACGCGCCGCCTCCCACCACCCGCGCTCCCCGAGCTTGCGTCGGTGCCAGGCCCGGCCCCTCACTGTCCCCTTGCGGTCCCCTGGGGCCGCGGCGCGGCGGGGGGCGAGGAGCGGGCGCCCTGCCCTTCTTGGCCCGCTGGACTCCGGGCGCCCCCTCCGGCGCGCAGGGCCGCGAGCGCCGCCGCCAGAACTTCTGCCAGCGGCCGCCCGTAGCCTAATTGCGCAGAGGGCTCGCCTTGCACCTCCTCTTCCCCCGCCGCCCTCCCTCTCGCCCAGAAAGGAGGACGGACCCAGCTGCAGGCTCCGAGCTGGTTTATTCTGCGGCCGAGGATTACATTTATGCACGAACGGGCTTACTGGTTCCAGATTCCCCACTTGGGCACAGGCATAGGAGGCTTGTTTTCCAAATTGCTGGTTTTAATTGCACCTGCCTTTCAGATTACCTCTGGGAATCTGTGGGAGGAGCCGAGAGGGTGGAAAATGTTTCTTAGCTTTGCAAAAGGAAGAAAACTTTGTCACCCAGCGGGAGACCTCAGCCACGAGTAACCCGGGGAGACACCAGAACCGGGACGGGCTTTGACTGATTTGCCTACGAGGGTTCCGTAGGAAAGGACGCTTGAATTCGGCGCTTCGGCGGCGGCGGCGGCCGCGCGAGTTCCCTGCTCACCCTCCCTCTCCGCGGAAGTCCCCACGAGGTGGCTTCAGGGTGTAACAGAGCGCGCGGCTCCAGTCCGAAGGCAGCGGCCGGGGGAGGGAAGGAGGGGACCGAACCCCCGAGGAGTTTCGCAGAATCAACTTCTGGTTAGAGTTATGGGAAGCGCGGTTATGGACACCAAGAAGAAAAAAGATGTTTCCAGCCCCGGCGGGAGCGGCGGCAAGAAAAATGCCAGCCAGAAGAGGCGTTCGCTGCGCGTGCACATTCCGGTGAGTCCCAGCACTCGGTCCCCTGCTCCCCAGCCCTCCTGTCGCTCCCGTCCCCGGCGCCGAAGCGGTTAACGCTGGACGCCCCGCGCGCGCCGTGCGTGCCCCTCCTGTCACTTCGGGCGGCTTGGGGAAAGGGTAGAGGGACAGGGCCCGAGCTGGGCTGGCGGAGCCGGGGCTCAATCTCTCTCTCTGCCCGCGTGCAGCCAGGGCTGGGGCTCCGCCTGGGGCGGGGGCTGGGCGGCTGCAGACTAGAGGGGGCGCCGGGCGCGGCGGGTGGGCGGCTGGGCGTAGCCCGGTATCCAGCCGGGTGCGGGTGCGGGGGGCGGTGCGTTGTGTTGTTTTGCTGAAAAGGGACGGTGTGGACTGCGCTCCGGGGAGGTGGAGCCCGCGCTCGGCTGCTGGAGACGGAGAGAGGGGAGGGGAGGGAGGAGAGGGGAGGGGCGGTGGGTGGGGAAAGCAGCGGGGCGGGGGTTGGGGGGAGCTGTGTAGCTGCGTCTTCCAATGCACCCCCTCCGCTCCAGTTTCTCTCCGGGCGTTTCTGGGCCTGGAGCGGGGGTCTCCTCTGCCGCCGTTCCCTTCCCCCGCCCCGGGAGTGTACTTTGGGTCTCTGTGGTATTTGGGGGCTCGGAGCTCCCTAATCCGTGCAGGCTGCATTGAACTTCAGCCCCGTCCGCGCCAGCCGCCCGGGAGGACATTGGCGACTCGGATCTGCCTGCGGCTTCACTTTGTCCAGCCAGAGGGGCGGCGGGCCGCGTAGTGGTTCTCTTTTCGGAAGGCGCCCCGGTAGCCCGCGGCCACTGTTCCTCGCCTCCACGTAGCGGGGTAGGGCGGTGGGAGGTGTGGCCCACTGGGTCACACCCTCCGCCTCAGCCAACCAAGTAAATGTTTGTGTACACACACACACACACACACACACACACACACACACACACACACACACACACCAGAGTGCTCCGTAGAGAAAGTTATTTTGCTCTCCCGGGGCAGGGTGGGAGTGCGCAGTGAATGGGCTGTCCGGACCCCTCATTAAAGCTAATCCTTCCCGACAGGGTCAGGCGCAGCTGGCATGGCCGAGGCAGGCCACTCACTTCCCACTGTGAATCCCAGGGCGCACTGCCCCGTGTTTGCTGAGCCACCCTTCTTTTAGACGCCCCGCTAAGGTCCTCCTGTGTAAACTCCGGCCCACACGTGCCTAACGCTTGGGTGAAGAGGGTGGAGTCCAGGGGCGGGTCTCCAGACACCTGATGCCAAGTAGCCCCACAGGGGCCCTGGGCCAGCCCTCCCTGGCTGGAAAGCTCTGGGGCTGGAAACTTGGACCCCTGGCTGCTGTGTGGCCCCCACGGTGGTGACTCGATTATGCAGGAATAAGTGTTCTATTTGAAAATGAAACATTCTTGTTTACATCTCTCATGTAAGACATTTAAAACCATGTTCGTGAGTTAAAAGTTAGATGTTGCTGCCACAAACCTCTTAAACAGTGATCACTTGAGCTAACCGTGTAACTACTGTTTCTCCCATTTGTCAAATGCAGGAAATAATACCCATTTTTCCTGCTTTATACGGATATTGAAATAAAGTAATTCATGGGAAAACTCTTTTTTATTGTTTTTTTTGTTTTGAGTCAGGGTGTCACTCTGCTCCCCAGGTGGGAATGCAGTGGTGCAATCATGGCTCACTGCAGCCTCAACCTCCCCAGGCTCAAGTGATCCTCCCACCTCAGCCTCCTGAGTAACTGGGACTACAGGCATGTGCCACCACACCCATCTAATTTATTTATTTTTTTTGTAGACATGAGGTTTTACCATGTTGCCCAAAGCTGGTCCACATGAGCTGGGCTCGAGTGACCCGCCCACCTTGACCTCTCAAAGTGCTGGGATTACAGGCGTGAGCCATCACACCCATCCCGGGAAAACTCTTGACAAGTGTAAAGTGTCCTATAAATGTATGGCTTATACATATACATATACATATACATATACATCATATACATATACATATACATCATATACATATACATCATATACATATACATCATATACATATACATATACATCATATACATATACATATACATCATATACATATACATATACATCATATACATATACATATACATCATATACATATACATCATATACATATACATATACATCATATACATATACATATACATCATATACATATACATCATATACATATACATATACATCATATACATATACATATATATCATATACATATACATATACATCATATACATATACATATACATCATATACATATACATCATATACATATACATATACATCATATACATATACATATACATATACATCATATACATATACATCATATACATATACATATATACATATACATCATATACATATACATATACATCATATACATATACATCATATACATATACATATACATCATATACATATACATATACATACATATACATCATATACATATACATCATATACATATACTTATACATATACATCATATACATATACATATACATCATATACATATACATATACATCAGACACCTAGTTTTTTAAAAAAATATATAGAGAGAAACAAGAACATGCCATTGTCCAGTGGTTGGGCCATTTTGTGTGGCAGCCACATGCTGAGGCTGGTTCCAAATGCAGGGTGTGAGTGATGTGTGGGCGTGCCCGTGGGGTGGTGCCAGCGATAGTGTGAGACAAAATCCAGAACCAGAAAAAGGACTGTGAGGCCAGGCCGTGAACGTTGAAAAACCATGTTATAGTTGGGGTCCTCGGACCACCCTTCTTGCTGCCAGTGGTGACTTTGGCAGCTTTTCATAACGTTCTTGGCATGAGCCAGCCCACCGCGAAAGTAGTATTCATTCAGTTATTCCACAGTGGCTGAGGGTGACCACGTGCCCAGGCTCTGGTTAGGGTGAGATCTGGGGAAGATCTGCCCAAGTCCTCACAGGGCTTGCAGTTGCTTTGGGTACCAGGGAGGTCCCCTCATCTGCCTAATGGTCATTACCTATGGATCATTGTGCCAGGCTAGGTGGCAGTTATAACCTCGCTGGGAAAATGAGGCTTTCAGACAAAGGCTAGCAAATGATCCAGGGTCATACGATGGCCAGTGCAGACCACACCTGTTTCTAGAGGCAGAAGGAGCGATGACAGTGGCCTGATGTGTTTAGAGAGACTTTACACCCAGAGATGGCAGGCAGGAGTCACGTAGAAGTGGGGGTGATACTCCCACTAAGGAACCAGTGGGAGCACCCCACAGAATCGGGCGGGAGGGGATGGCTGCTTCCAGGTGAAGAGCCACGCCTCCTGGCGAAAGGGTTTGAGAGCTAGAGTCATAGGAAATGCTTTGAGACTGGATCAGGAAGGACCTGGACATAGGGTTGCCAGCTGTAGTAACTAAAAATACAAGATGCCTAGTTGAATCTAGATTTCAGGTAGACAATGAATCATGTTTTAGCATAGGTATGCGCCATACAATATTTGGGAAATACTAAAAAGTATCCATTGTTGATGTGAAATCCCAGATTAATGGGGGCGTCCTGTATTTGATCTGGCAATGCTGCCTTGAAGACCAGGCCTAAGGCGTGAGGACCCCCTCCTGAAGGCGTGAAGAAGCTGCGGTGGACGCTGTGGATAGCCTCCTCCTGGTGCCTGGGGCCCAGCCCACCCTCACCTGCAGCCTTGGTGGACTGCCTCTTACTCGTGTCTCCCTCCCCACCTGAAGGAATCCTCTCAGACCCTGGCAGCTTGCTCAGCCTAGTGCAGGAACCCCTGGAAGTGCTGGGATTATGCCCTGAGGGGCAACCCTCAACCCAGGAGGGGTCCAGTTGGTGGCCAATGGCCCAGCCGCCCTGCTGCTCAGTGGGAAGTTCTGACCTGGGTTCTGCAGGATGCCTCAGGGGATCCCTAGCAGGGTGGGGATCCACAGTGTAACCCACTCGTTAATGCACCTTACTGGCCCTTCTGGCCAGTTCCTGCCTCAGTTTCCCCATTCCCTTGTCTGCACTCCCTGGGATAAACTCCTGAACCTAAGTTCCTGTCTGAGTGTCTTTTCTGGGGGGACCTGAACTAAGAAGCCATTAAAGGTAAAGAAAACAGCATTCCATGGGAATCAGCCTGGAAAAGTGTACAGAGTGGAGTGATGGGAAACGGGCTGGTGTCAAGGAAACCAACTCAAGTACTTTGGCAAAAGCCCCCCCCCAGGGTAAGGGTCCGAGGGCCTGAACTGCAGCTGTGATGAGAGAATGCAGAAGGGCAGACGTGGGACGTGAGAAGGCCAGCCTAGTGGATGGCAAGGGGTTGAGGTGGCAGGAACTGATGTGGAGGTATTTGGGATAAGGGGCCGGTTCTTGGGGGAAATGATGAGTCTGGTCATAGCCCGGGTGTGTCTCAGCAGAGGGCAGCACGTCCATGGGGAATCACATTTGCTTCCTCACCCCAGCCTCAGAGGACTGTGGTGTGCAGGGACTGCCACTGCCAAGGACATCTTGGATTCTGAGGAGTAATAACTCTTGAAAGACACTGTGGCCCTGGCTGGCCTGTGACTGGGGTCATTTGGTGGCCTCCTCGGACCCCTAGTGCCCAAGCAGCTTGTCTCTTCATTGAATTGGATTGAGTCGTTTTGGGGACCTCAGCCTCCAGCCCATATCATAAACAGAACCGTGGCCTAGGGTGTTGGAGGCAATTGTTGCAAACCTCCTCTCTCGGGCTCTGATGATTTTGAATGTCCCCACTGCCCGCTTCCTGTCAACAGCCCATCTAGGCTTTGGGACACCAGGAAGGAAGAATCCATTTTAGGGGACAGCCTAGGGCCAGTGGGTAGTGGACGGTGGTGGAGACCTAGAACTACTAAGTAATTTATCAATTGAATTCGGTTGATGGCTGTGTACTGGGGAAGGGAACGTGGCCCTTGGACCTAACGAAGGTGTCGCCTTGCTTGGCTTCAGCCTTTCTTGGGCATTTTGGGTCACCTTTATGGGCACAGCTCCAGGGTCTTGGAGGAGGAGGGGGAGGATGCAATGGAGAGGAAGGGGAAGGACTGACGGCACATTCTATCCTGAGGCCATGCTGGCCTTTCAAAGTAGCAAAGGGCCGTAGAGGTCAGAGTCCTGGCCTGTTGGCATCCCGCCTTGGCTCCCTGCTCTGAGCCTCCATGCCTCTTGTAAGGCATGGCTGATTATGAAGGTGATGGGAATGGTTTTAGGAAGTAACTCACTGGAAGCGTAGCTGTGCGTGGTGTTCTGCCGAGACTTTGGTAGCAAGCGTGCTCTTTCTCCCTTATGTCGGTCTAAGAAAAAGCAGCTTCCCTATTAGTGCTAAAGTTCATAGACCCCATAGACATGCTTTAATCAAGGCTGGCTGCCATGTCGTGTGTCTCTGGAACTGTTTCAAGCCAATGACAGAGCTGGAGACCCAGGGAGAGGGAAGACGTCAGAGAGATGGACCCAAGGCAGAAGTCTTTGGGGACACTGAGGCAGGCTGGAGGAGTTCAGATGGTTGCTGCTGAGTGGGGCATTTCTGTCAGAATGTACATGTCGCTGGCCCTCTGGGGAGAGGTGCTCCAGAAAGCCTGCACAGTCGCTGGAGACAAACTAAAAGTAGAGCCAGGGAGCTGGGCAGTCACAACGTTTGCAGAGATGGGGCTGGGCTTGGGCGGGCCTGTTGCCAGCGGTGCCTCCCCCCGCCGCGTGGCCTCAAGGGAAGCCCCGCGCTGCGAGAAGGCCACGCACCCTCCGAGCTGGTGATGGCCTGGGACCTTTGCACCCAGCTCCTGCCCCATAGCCTCTATCCGGCTGGAATGAGCCAGTTTGGGAACTCCAGGATGAGGGTGGGAAGGGGAGCCCCGTCCTGCCCCGGGGCTGGAGGATCGAACCGTGACAGTGCTTTGTGCCCCTCACACCACTGAAACGCTCCGGATGGAAGCCTCCGCAAAGGGAAGGGGGATGCTGTGTGGCACAGTGGACGTGTCAGCTTTGACCTTGGCCAGTTTGTACCATCCTGAGCAAGATTTGCTGGATTAGGGTTTAGGGCAATGTTTAACAAAGTGTGGTTCATGGACTAGCTTATGTAGAAGCTCCCAGTGTTTGTTTAGAATATAAAATTCTGCTTCGTAGCCCAGACTTACTGAATCAGAATGCCTGAGGGTGGGACCCATGAGTTTGCATTTTTCTTAAGTTCTCCGGTGATTCTTGTACCTACTGGGGCTTAAAAACAACTGGGTACTATTAATAGCTTCCCTGGTGTAATACTGTTCCATTTCTTCTGCCCCCATGAGTTATTCCTCTGTCTGCCTGCCTGCCTGCCTGCCTGCCTGCCTGCCTGCCTGCCTGCCTATCTATCTATCTATCTATCTATCTATCTATCTATCTATCTATCATCTGCACCTTTTCAGCTGTCATTGAGAAGAGATATCCTTGACTTTTGACTATTCAACAAAGGCAATTCAACATTTGGCTTCCAAATAAAGATGAATGCCCAAACCAGCCTGTAGCCAGAGCTGCCTGTGTGGGCCAGCCCGTTAGGCCACGCTGCAAGCTTTCTTGACTCAGCCCTTCAGTGGCTTCATGCATCTTAGATGCCCTGCCGTAAGCTCCAATAGGGCCCAGAGTATGCTATGGGAACCTTCAGTAGTCAAGCTTCTTGGTGATGGGGTCCTCAGACTGGCCTGTGGCTCCAGGGTTTTTGATGAAGCTTGGTTGCCGCTCTGCAGCACGCTGGGTGTGAGAGGGCTGATCAGCGAGGGTCGTCCTCAGTGGGGCACGGCACATTGGCCCAATGCCGCTTGAGCACGGCCCAGTGCTGGTCCTGGAGGGAACGGGCAGCTAGACAGTGATGCGTGATCACTTCCTCAAAGACTCTACCACACAGAGGGCGCAGGGACACCCACAGAGCAGCTCACATGGGGGAATAGTGCGGAGCCTGCACAAACCCATGGGCCTGCAGAGTCACATGCTCAGTGCCTTGCGGGAGTCACCTTGGAGCTGCCTCGTCCTCTTATCCCTACTTCACAAATGCCCAGCTGAGAAAAAGCCTGTTCATCATTACATGGTAGATGACAGGGTTAATTACAGTGGAGGTGAAATATGCATCTCTGCCCTCATCTAGCCCCCGCTGCCCTATTCGCGCTTGGTCCTGGTACCTCTTTGTGGAGGGTTCCAAGATTCTTATATAAACGAGGCTCTACATACTGCAGAGGAGCAGCCTACTGATGAATGCAAAGAGTTAAATCCTGGATCATGATTTCCCAGCTCGAGTACTGAATTAACATAAACAGAAGCAGCAGCCAGCAGAGTTGGTGGGTTCAATCGATATTGCATCTTTTCACATGTCACAAACTTGTTAGGAGTCTCAGTGCATTGCTAGTGTCTTTTCCTGCCTCTTTTCTTTGAACTGCCCCCCCCAATAAAACCTCTCAGAACAATATTGCTAGTTTGCACTCAGGGTTTGCAATTTGGACTGTGCTGAACACTAGACTGGCGAAAGAAATCATTTGGAAGCACTTTTTATTTGCCAACGCCTCTTCATCTACTCAGACTTCGCTTACGTAATTTGTAAATCAGTTTGTATCTTCTAAAACCTTCAGGCAAATACATGTGCTCTTAAATATTCCTGTTTCTTGGCTGTTTATTTTCTTTTGCTCTCCCTGTTTTCCTATAAGAGCTGATTTTGGTGTATTCAGCTCATGGCCAGTGTCTTTCTGTTTCTAGGCACCTTTTTACATTTATGGGGGCTGCTAAGGTTACCGAGTAGAGCCACAGACACTGACAGGAGCCGAGTGAGAATGTGGCTCACCCGTTCTCCTCCCTCCGCCCTCCCTTCGGCCAAAATGGGACCAATGAACGTGATCACCGATGAAGCACCAGCTGTCTGCCGTCCTTTCAGGACGGTGAACCAGCCCATCCTGATAACCCCACAGTTCTGTCAACGTCGTTTAAAATGCGCAACAAACAAAGGCCGATGGGCAGCTGAGCTGTGACGTTGAAACAGAGTGGTGACTTTGCTTGGTTCTTTAACCGTGACTCGCTCTGAGATGAGCAGAGGGGCCACCTGAGAGTTCAGCTGCGTCCTTCGGGCTTAACCATACGGAGTTCTTAGAAGCCCCCACTGTTACTCATTGCATGGCTTATGCCCCCAGACCAGAGGAAGGGGTTAGCTATTAACGAGCTGAGCTTCCCCAGTAGAAGAAGGTGATTTGGTGGAACTGTATTTTAGCCCTGCCTTGGAATGGTTAATTGGAATCTCACTCATCTCTTTCTTCCACTACCTACTTTGAAAATAATTTAATCCCTGTCCTTTACTTCCTGTTGACAGGAAGCCCTCTCTGCCAACCCATGGCTGGTCACGGACCAATCGGCTATCACCAGGCTTTGGGGCGTCTGCCAGGGCCTCTGTGTTTTGATATACTCTGACCTGGCAGTGAAGCTGCTGATGAATGCACGACAAAGACCAGTTTGCTCCGTAACCCCAGGCTCCCAGCGTCTTTTCCATGAGCCAAAGGCCTGGTCCTGGAGGGGGGTGCCCTGCAGCTCTGCTGGCCTTCTTCCAGGGGAGTTCATTGCTGGGGGTGGCCCTGCAGTGACCTCCACTGTGCTGGGGAGGGGAAGAAGAAGGATGCAACAGGGTGAGGGGAGAATTTGAGAAAATAGGATGCAAATTCTCCACTTGTGAATAAAGAAATAGAGAGCCATTGCTAAGAACTATGTTTACGCAGGGTTAGTGCTGGGACCAGAAACCAGTCAACTCGTTTCTGTGTGCTTTCCAGGGACTGGGCTGGGTGTCGAGGACACAAAGATGAACAGTGCGATGGAATTGGATTCTCCAAAAAAAAGGTCGAAGTCCCACACCCTCTGCACCCCATACCTGTGAATGGGACCTTCTTTGAGATGGGGTTTTTGCAGATGTGATTAACATATAGATTAGGATGAGGCCATTAGGACCGGCCCTCATCCACTATGCCTGGAGTCCTTCTAAGAAGAGGGAAGTTGCATCCAGAGGCACAGGCAAGAAGGCCTGTGAGGGCGGAGGCAGAGATTGCAGAGCTGCTGCCACGAGCCTCGGAATATGGGCCGCTGAAGGGTGGAAGAGGCAAGGAAGGATCCTCCCGGAGGTTTCGGAGGGCGTGTGGCTCTCACAGCACCTTGATTTCAGACCTCTGGCCTCTAGAGCAATGAGAGAATCCATTCTGTTTTAAAGCCCCCAGTATGTGGTGCCGCATTATCACAGCCCAGGAACCTAATCCAACAGGGCCCTGCCCTCAAAGCACAGCGCAGCCACAGCCTCCGTCCGATAGAGCTGTAGGGCAGGGGCTTGCACTGAGGGGCTCCATGGCATGGCCTGGAGAGGTGGCCAAGGCCCCAGGAAGGGGTCCCAGCGTCCCACTGCCCACAGCACTTTGACACTCCCTTCCAAGGTCTGGGTCTTTCCTTGCGTCCCCTCCTCCCACTGCTGGAAGTTCTAGTGTGGAGGGGCTGTGAGAAAACCAACGTAACGTGACAGAGGCTGGTGTGGCAGCTCTGGGACCCAGGCCTGCTCCCTCTGTCCAGAGCACTTCCTCTTTGCCTGCTCTCCCCTCCTGGGTGGCCACCAAGACTTAGCCTCCTGGGGCCAGGGGTGCAGAGGTGTGTGCGAGGGGTGGGGGTGGGAGGACAGCTCTGTCACCTGCTCAACTTCCAGAAGACGGGCAGGCAGGCAGGCTCCACACAGCCATTTGCCTATTGGGCTAATGTGGAAACCATTTACTCAGCTCCACCCTGCTCACCACCTCAGCCATGCCAGCAGCCATGGGGTGGTGGGCTTGAAGCATACATCACCTGGGCCCCATCCTCATCTATAGCATATGTTGTAATAAGCACCCCAGAGAGCCTTCTTCCTCCATGCAACCTAGATACGCTTGATGGGGAGTTGCATTCATGGTGCTGATGACCGATCAATATTCTTGATTGTATCAGATACCATCTGGGGTGGCATGGTTTTCAACAGATTGAGCTAATATTGCTGAAGCACTTGTTATATGCCAGACGTGTGCTTTTATATGAGCCGTCTCTCTTTATCTCTAAAGTAATATGTGAAATATTAGTATTGTTATTAGTCTTATTATCCTTAATGTAGAAAAGACAGTGTAAGGTTCACAACCATTCTAGCCCAACCTGCTGAGAAAAGTCTCTGTTGTGTCTTGTCAGGTTTTTGATATCTCTGCTTGGCTATGGCCCAGATGCCCCACGAGCAGCCAAGGCCTCCCTGGGGTAGGGGATGAGGCTGGACGGTCAGGCTGAGGCTGGACGGTGGGCCCAGAGAGGGCGGCGTCTGCTGCCTCCCTTCGGTTTGCCCTGTGTGTGTCAGGTCTCCATACGCTTCACTTGGCCCCTTTCTAGATGAAGGTCATTGAAGGTTATTCTTTACCCTTCTTATCTCAAAAATAAATAACCTGTCTTCTCCACTTTCTTTTCTTTTTCTTTTTTTTTTTTTTTTGAGACAGAGTCTTGCTCTGTCACCCAAGCTGGAGTGCAGTGGTGCGATCTCCGCTCACTGCAAGCTCCGCCTCCCAGGTTCACACCATTCTCCTGCCTCAGCCTCCCGAGTAGCTGGGTCTACGGGCGCCCGCCACCACACCCAGCTAATTTTTTGTATTTTTTAATAGAGACGGGGTTTCACCGTGTTAGCCAGGATGGTCTCAATCTCCTGACCTCATGATCCGCCCGCCTTGGCCTCCCAAAGTGCTGGGATTACAGGCGTGAGCCACTGCGCCCGGCCTCTTCTCCACTTTCATAGGTTCCAGTCTCTGGTTCTTCTTTCTCAGTTTGTTGTTTTTGCTTCTTAAATAATGGAGATTAGAATGAACACTACACTCGGAATCAGGAAGCCCTGCCTGGCGCCTCTGTCACCTGTCTAGGGGCTTCTTCTCACTGAGTCATCCAGTATTGACCGCAGCCTGTTGTGTGCCAGGCACAGGGGTCTCACTGTGATCCACATGGGCCCCTCTCTCCCCTCACAAGGCTTAACCTGGGGCATGCCGTCACCCTGTCAGTTCACGTCTGCTGCTACCAAAACACCAAAAACATAGGGACTGAAAGCCACAGAATTTATTCTTTCTCACTGTTCTCTCTGTCAGCTGGGAAGTTCTCGTGGTTGGGGCTGGCTTGGCCGATCTCTGGGGTCAGCCAGCAGCTGGGCCCCAGGACAGCCTCGCCTGCATGTCTGCCCATCGCCCAGTCGGCTCCATGCCAGCCGAGCCGCGGGGACAACTGGGCCGTGTGTCCAGCAGGCCGTCTAGGCAGCAGCAAGAGGGCCAGCCTGAAGCTCAGGGGCTCCTCAGGCCCCTTGGCCATGGCAAGTCACACGGCTGAGACTCAAGGGATGGAGGGACAGACTCTGCCTGTGGATGGAAAGCAAGGTCATGTGCACAGGGGCCAGAAGGATTTGAGCGGAACCAGTCACTTAACCTGTCTAGATCTGTTTACATATATAATACATTCATATATTATATAATTAGTATTATATAAAATTGTTATCTAATCATATGCTATTTAAAGTATATCCTATATGTAATATGTGTAATATGTAATATACATATATACACTTTGAAAAAGAGGGCTGGAGCCTAAGTCTCCGTTTGGCTCAAGCACCACGGCTGTATGGAAACTGCTTTGTCCTGGGGACAAGTGGCTTTAAGGGGCTGTGGGTGAGGGGCGTGCAGAGCAGTGATGGGGCCTGGGTCCTTCCAAAGCTGGACTTTTAAGAGTGTCACCTGAGCCCTCCCATTTGCACCACTGAAGATGAGTGAGTGTCCGAGGAGATATTTCACCCCTGGGGAGCTGCCAGCGCCAGGAGAACAGAGAGGTCGCTTGTCTCCTCACCACTCTGCTTTGCATGTTAGGTGTATTTTGAGATTTCTGACATGACCTTGGGGCATAGGTAATAGAGTATTTTCAAAGACAGAGGGAAATGCTGGGCAGCGATACCAACCTGGTCTGGGGAAGGAACTGGGCCAGGAGACCTCCCCTCTAGGGTTGCAGGGTACCTGCCAGGTGTGGAAGTGGCGCAGAGGATGCATGGTAGCCCCTGGGAGAAGGGAAACAGGAAGCTGCACCCTGGACCGCCGTATAATGAGGAAACAGCCCCAAGAGGTTAAGTGACCTGCCACGTCGCATGGCTGGCCAGTGGCGAAGCAAGGATTGAACCTGGGCCTTTGCACTGGAGGCGTGTTGGGAGGAGAGGAGTCCCACCCTGGCTGGTCAGCTGCTGTGGCTACGGTCAGGGAAGGGCTTCTGGGAGCCAGCATTGCCATCTGCCGGCCCTGTGGCTTTCTGCCTGAGATGCCTGCTCTTGAGGCTGGAGGTCAGGAAGCCAGTTCACAGCAGTGCTTGTTTCGTGCTATTTCAAGACAAGGGCTGTGGGCTCCAGACTCCATTCTCTATCACCTCCCTCCTCTCTCCTCTCCTCTAGATGTGGCAATATCAGTTCTCAGGAAAGGCTCAAAGCGATGTTCTGTAGGAGAGGCATGCAGGCATAGAGTTTACTACTGTGATAAAATACAGCATAAAGGCAGGTGGACATATTTGGTTCTTGGTTCCTTTTTTTTTTTTTTGAGACAGGGTTTTGCTCTGTAGTCCAGGCTGGAGTGCGGTGGTGCGAACACTGCTGCCTGGAACTCCTGAGCTCAAGCGATCCTCTTACCTCAGCCTGCTCAGTAGCCGGGACCGCAGGTGCCACCAAGCCCGGCTAATTTTTTGATTTTTCATAGAGAAGGGGCTTCATCATCTTGCCAGGCTGCTCTTACACTCCTGGGCTCAAGCAGTCCTCCTGCGGTGGCCTTCCAAAGTGCTAAGATTGCAGGCGTGAGCCACCGTGCTGGCCTCATATTTGGTTCTATTCCTTGTTAAATGATGGTCTGCCCTCCAGTGGCCTTTGTCACCTTCACCTGAAGGTTATGCTCAGCTGGTGAGTCTGTGCCTCTAGCTTTGGCCACTCAGTGGTGAAAGAGGGAAGCAAGCTGGACTGAGCAGAGGGGAAGGGCGATGAAGCATTCACACCAAAGGCCTCAGCTGACCCCTTGGAGCATTCTGGAACTGGGATGACCCTTCAGAGTTGTCCCAGATTGAGGCAAAGGGCTCCCACACTGTCCCTGGGAAGGGGATGTGAACTTGGGTGAGGCGGATCCCGTCGGGTGAGGGCAAGTCTCAGCCAGGCACTCAGCTGAGTACCAGTGGCTACCAGTGCTCCCTGTACCCGGGGACTTACCAGTGCCCCCTGTACCTGGGGATTTACCAGTGCTGCCTCTACCCGGGGACCTACCAGCACCCCCTGCACCCGGGGATCTACCAGCGCCCCCTGTACCCTGGGGTCTACCAGTGCCCCCTGTACCCGGGGACCTACCAGTGGTCCCTGCACCCGGGGACCTACCAGCGCCCCCTGCACCCAGGGATCTACCAGCGCCCCCTGCACCCCAGGACCTACAAGTGCCCCCTGCACCTGGGGTCTACCAGCACCCCCTGCACCCCAGGACCTACCAGTGCCCCCTGCACCCGGAGATCTACCAGTGCTCCCTGCACCCAGAGGCCTACCAGTGCCCTCTGAACCCAGGGATCTACCAGTGCTCCCTGCACCCAGAGACCTACCAGTGCCCTCTGAACCCAGGGATCTACCAGTGCTCCCTGCACTCAGGGACCTAACAGTGCTCCCTGTACCCAGGGACCTACCAGTGCCCCCTGCACTTGGGGACCTACCAGTGCTCCCTGCGCCTGGGGATCCGGGAGCCACACCACGGCATCCACGGCACCGCGTCCCTTTCTCATAAAATCTCACGATTTTTCTTTCGAAGTATCCAGCCTGTCTCCTTAATTAAACCATAAGCTCCTTTAAAGATGGCATGCGTCTACACTTTGTCATGTCCCAGCCCTGAGGAAGCCACCTCTCACACAGCCGACCTGAATGTTGACAATGATGATGATGATGGTGAGGACATGCAGAAGCTTAACTAACAGAGGGGGAAAGAAAGAAAATGGGGGCCGTCTTTGAGAATGGAAATGCTTAGTTAACTCGACGACCCAATTTAGAAAAATCTGAGTGAACCCGTTTTTTACAAATCTTGTGGGAGCCACATACCTCAAAGAGAACATTTTCAGACAAATCATGTCTTGTTGGTTTCAAAAAGAGGCATTTTTTTTTCCATCCAATCTACTGGCCAGAAAAAAAAGGGGCAGATTTTAGGCACATTACTGTGTTATTTGTTTTTTTCCTTCACCTCCCACTTGGGAAAGTTACTTGGGCTTTGGCTCAGGCTGATTGACTAGTACAGCATCCTGTGTCTGGCAGGAGGCATCTGCCATGGCGGGATGGTCCTCTGCCTGGAGACGGGCCGGGCGCCTAGACCTTCATGCAATGCAGAGCCCGGGGGCCAGATGCCAGTGCCTCGGGCCTCATCCCCTTCAGGGACCTCTCTATTTCCTGGTGCCATTGGAGGAGGGAGCATCCGTCCACTGAGGGGACGGGCATGGACCTAGCCGTCCCTCATACTAGATTCTCAAGAACAGAGTCCTGTGTGTGAGCAGGAAGATGGGATGGTTTTTATCTTGCCAATGGAAGAGTGGCTGCTAGGGAGGGAGCATGAGTTTGGGTGCCAGAGGCCAAGGTCGCAACCCCGGTGTCAATGATTGCCCCCTGTGTCCTATTGGGCAGTTCACTGGCACAATCTAAGCCTCAGTTTCCTCACCGGTAAAATACAGAATATAATCCCCACCTCACAGGACTTGGGGGAGCATGACTGAGATGCCACAGTAAAGAGCAGGATGTCTGTGTCTAGAAGGGTTGCCTCCCTCTCCCTAACAAGCCGCCCATGGGAGGACCGACCCTAAGAATGTAGCTGTGGCCACCATCCCATCCCAGGTTTTCTGGGGATGTCCCCAGCTTCAGATAATTTTATTCTTTTCAATGGAGGTGATTCTTTTTTTTTTTTTTTTTTTTGGAGACAGAGTCTTATTCTGTCACCCAGGCTGGAATGCAGTGACACCATCTTGGCTCACTGCAACCTCAGCCTCCCGGGTTCAACCAATTCTTATGTGTCAGCCTCCCCAGTAGCTGGGATTACAAGCATGCACCACCATGACCGGCCAGGTTTTGTATTTTTAGTAGAGATGAAGTTTTGCCATGTTCAGGCTGGTCTTGAACTCCTGGCCTCAAGTGATGCACCCGCCTCAGCCTCCCAAAGTGCTGGGATTACAGGCATGAGCTACCATGCCCGTCCTGCAGGTGATTCTTTGATTGTAATTTGAACGAGATTTCCTTTTTAATCCCTCATTAGGCTTTGGCTGAATAATTTGCAAATTTGTTCAATAGGTCTCCTTATTCACACTGAGACAGGCCAAGGTCCTGACCCCAGAGTGAAGCCAGCTTGAGCCCCCAGGGCTGAAGGTACTGAGCCCTTAACTGAGAGTGAGAAGGCTTAGAAATGGGCTTGGCCTTGGTCCACGTGCCAGGAACTTGAAGGCAAAGTCTTGGGGTGGGGCTGCAGAGAGTTGAGGTGGCGGGCAGAAATCTAACCTGGCAAGCTCTACCTAGAAGCAGAATACTGGGACTTTAGGGTCCTTGGAGTCTCGTCTGCCTGCACCTCCCTCTACCACAAGCCTAACGTGACCCCAGTAGGGTCATGGCATGGAAGACAGGTGGGCAGACAAGGGGAGACAGTGTTCCCTGGGCGAGAACAGTGCCCTCTAGGAGAGGTAGGGCACAGCAGGCATCCTTGGGAATCAGTTCATCAGGTTAATATGCTTTTTGTCCTCTTCTCCTTGGGGCATTTGCTGTCTAATGGGGAACTCATGGGGACTTTGCACCTTGACTCCAGAAAATAAATATGGGGCTTTTAGAGAACACTCAGGCTCCCAAGTCATCTCCTTCCAGTCTGCAGTGGGCCTCGGGTGGGGTGGGTGAGCTGGGGGCCGTGCTCTCTCTCTCTGTCTTGTGGTTGGTTCATTCCCAATGGGAGATGAAACCCACACCCCCTTCCACAGGCGAGGCCTTGGGCACCACAGATGGCACCCATCAGTGCGTGTCTCTGATTGTCCACCAGTACAGGCGTGGATGCCAGGGAGGAGAGGGGGTGGGCAAGGACAAGCAATGTAGAGATGCAGGTGGCCGTGTGTGGTATTGGAGGAGTGAGATGTTTGCAAGAAGTTCTGGTTCTCTCTGCTGCAAATGGCGCAAAGCATGCCCAGCCTGTGGTCTTGCCTGTCCGAGGGCCTGTCCTGGTGCCCCCTTTCTGCCCTGCCTCCAGCAGGAGGGGCTCCACGGAGGCTGGAGAAGGGGCAGTGGCTGGGCATATCATAGCTGCTGGTTAATGTGCTTAATGGAAGGTGGATGAAAGCATCCGATAGGCAGATGGAGCCCTGTTAGTGACTGGAAGGGCCCCTCCGGGTCCAGCATTCTAGGCTTCTGTGATACCTGCTACAGCTCCAGGTGCCCGGCCACCTCCGTCAGCCCAGCCCACAGTCCCACCTGCAGGTGGCGGAGAGGGAATCTTGGACTACATCAGAAGATGGGCACTCGTGTCCTGCAACCCTGCGTCCCTCCAGCGGCATGGACTCAGGTGACTCCCATGGCCTTGGATTTCCAGCTGATACCCTGAGATGACTACTGCCTAAATGGGAGTGAGGGACAGCTGTTTACCAGATCATTCAACTGCTTGGCACTGGACAGAGATGGAGATACATCCTCGGTGCCTTAACCTGCAGCTCTCACTGGGACAAGAGGATGGCTGGCAAGTGGCTGATGAGAGCAGAAGGGGAGCTGAAGGTATCCAAGGCCACTCAGCTTCTGATGGCGCCAAGGGACAGCTCTGGCACTGTGGGCTGTGGCTGGCAGCAGACCCAGCCGGGCTTGGGCACACAGCCTCAGGCAGCTGCCGCCAGATTACTCACCTCCACTCTCACAGTCCTCGCCCCTGGGAAGTCTTCCCTATTCGCTAATCCCATGGCCCTTTAAGTGTGTGTCTTAGCTGTGTCTCAGTGAACACGGAGAGATGTGCTGGGCGCTGCCCTCACTCTGAAGACCATGATTCCTGGCCAGCACCTTTGTCTTCTTTGGAGAATCATACCTTTCCACGGGGCTGGCAGTCGCATCCCACCCTCTCCACCCACAGACCTCACAGAGATGGTGGGAAGGTGTTGCCGCAGCTTTCCGCCTTCGCTACCGTGTGCAGCAGGGACTGGCTTGCGGGCCTCACCTCGCCCCGCCCCGTCTGACGCCGTTCCCCGCGGAGTGTTCTCTGGTGCCACAGCTGTGCAGCACCCTCGAAGCCCATTCCCTGGGCATCACAGGACGATGCACACAGATGTGGTATCGGCTGTTTGCTGGAGGCCCCAGCGACCTGTTTTTCCTGAATCTGTTCTGTGACAGACTCCAGAGACACCTGGCCAGGGTCTGGCTTCTCCTCAGGAGACACTGGATTTTCTGAGCTTTCCTTGATCTGAGAAGTTTCTGAAAACTCCCCTTGAGTCACTGAGGCCAGGGATGGGGCTGGACCTGCTGTCGATGCCAGCCTTGCAGAGGAGCAGGAAGAGGGGCCTCCTAGGGGCGAGACAAGGCCTAGGGTGCCCGTCAGCTCCATCAAGACTCCTGGGGGCAGAATTCGTGTTCCGTTCATCTTTATGGTCCCTCCAAGTGCTCCACACTGTGCATTCTGCATAGCAGGTGCTTGCTGAATACCTCCTAGCTACCAGCAAAGCATCTTTGGATTGGGGGCTCAAACCAAACCCATCTCAGCACTGGAAAACTTTCAAATCACAGGAAGCCGAGAAACGGCCGAAGTGAATGACGATGTCACCCCTTCTTCCAGCAGCAATGGTGTCAGGCATGGCCATGGTCCAGGACCATTGAGGAGGCAGGACTTCCCTTTCCCTGTGACTCTCTCTTCCTGTAGCACAGGGGTGGTGTGTGTGTGTGGGCAGGTGAATAGTGGAGGGGAATAATGGGGTGTGGGAGATATGGGTATTTAACTATCCACTGAGGCTTACCTAGTCCAATCCCTGACACGTATCTTTATGACACCTGGATACCGAAAGTGACACAAGGTATGCATAAACAAAAATAAAAATAATCTCCATACTGCTTAAAGCTCCAAGGAGCCAGTAGCTTCAGTCACCTTCCCACCAAGTGGTACAGATTGGGCTCTTCAATGGGCCAGCTGGGGACAGCTGTGGCCGAGGCTGGCAGGGTGCTGCTGAGTACTGGGGAGGAGAGGGGAGTGTAAGGGAGGGGAGGGGAGGGGTAGGCACGGTGCAGGAGAGGCTGGGCTGCCCCACAGTCTCAGCTAGGGCCTCAGCCCACCCTTCTGAGCCTTGCTGGGTAGCAGCAGGGGCTGGGGACAATCATTGGTGGATGTAGCTGACTGTGGAAGAGGCTGGGGCCTTGGGAAGGTGGCTCCTCCAGCCTGGGCTGTCCCCATAAGGGGCTGGCAGCCGAGGGGCCACAGCACCACCAGCAGTGGGGGAAAGGAGCGCTTCATTCCCAAAGAGAGATGGGAGAGGCAAGTCCCAGCACCCTGTACCCCTTAGGGAGCAGCCAAAGGAGTAAAACCCGCAATTCTTTGTCTCCTATGCCCCATTCCTTCCTAGTGACAGGAAATCACCGTTTGGGATTGTATAGAAGGTGTTAGAAATTGTATGCCCGCCTTCTGATGCTCCAGCGAGGTGGCACCTGGTTCAGATGACTTTTCAGTTCAGACCTGAAGGGAAAAGAAGAGCAACAGTGACCACAAAGAGAGCGAGCGCTCCCAAGCCAGCAGGTCCTCAGCATGCGTGGGTGGCAGCTGACTTCATCCCCACACAGCTGTGTGCTGGTGCTGCTATTGTCCCCATTCTACAGATGGGAAAATCTGCACAGCAGAGGCCGTTGGCAGGGGGTGGCACAGCCGGGCATCAAGCCGGAGCCGTCTGGCGCCTGAGCCCACACACAACCGCTGTGCTGAACAGACAGATGGTGCCGGAAGGCAGCATGCAACCCGAGAAAATGCGTGGAGAGGAGTGGGCTGTTGCTTTCCAACCATTTTTATAGGCTGACTATAGATGCATTTATATGAAGTCTTTTTTTTTTTTTTTTTGGTACTTCCAGTTGCTGATGGGTCCACCTTGGGCACAGCCCCCTCTCACAGGCGGACCTGGGCATCGGCCTCATTCCTCATTTGTGCAGAACTCTGTAGGGCTCAGTGATCTGGGAGCTGGGAGCTGGCAGGAGCAGAAAGGTCCTGAATGTCACCCAGCAAAAAGCACTGACCTTTTCTGGCTCTCATCTCCCACACCGTCTTCCGCAGGATGCTGCGCGTTCTGTGCCCATCCCTTATACTCCCTGTGGGCTTTTTTTTTTTTTTTTTCCAGCAATGATCAGCCCTTGCCTAATTGCAAATAGATGGGTCTTAGGATTGTTTTTTTGTTTTAATGTTGCCTGCAAAAATTACACTGGTTAGTGTCTCTGGAGCCCTAAAAGATACCACCTTTTACACAAAGCTGAAAGCAGTAGACTTTGGGCTGCAGTCCAGTAGTTTCTTTTGTCACCGTTTTCTGTTTCTTTCCTCTTTCTCTGCTCCGTTTTCTCTCCGCCCTTCTTGTTGTCTTCTGCCTGCTGTCCTGTATCTTCTCCTCCTTTATCTTGTTTCCTTAGAGCTGGGTTTCACCAGACTTGAAACACCTGCCTTGCGATCCAGTTCTCTTCCCTGTGGCGGCCACGTGGCTGATGAGGCACAGGTGACCGTGCTCCGGTGGGGACGCCGTGACCGTGTGTGTGGCTGGTCTTGTTTTTCAGATGCGGGCATTCACTGAGTTATATTCGGTGTGGGTGCCAGACTTAACGTCTTTCACATATTTTGCCATTTAACTCATCAGCAACTCTGCCTGTTCCTAGTATTCACCCGGTTTTTACAGTTGGAGAAACGGAGGCTCAGATAGAATGAGTTGTTTGCCTAAGGGCCACGGCGAGGCCAATTGAACCCGGTGTGGCTGTCTCCAAAATCCACGCCCTTCCCTGCAGGACGTCTTTTCGTCTCCCCCTACATCCTAATTTGGGGCAATGAAGAAGGCAAAATACCTTCCAGGGAGCTGCAAGCCTCCGCAGGGGCCCGCCTCGGGGCCACTCCAGCGTGCTCGTGGCACCTGTGCTTGCGTCCTCGGCTGCGCGGGCCTTGGAAAGATCGCCACGGGGAGCCAGGACTTTGGGGACCTGGTTTCCCTCCTGCCACACCTCTCATTGGCTGTGTGACCTTGGACAGGCTCCCTGATGGCCCTGAACCTAAGTTGCTTTGTTAGTGAAACAGCAATAAGAATACCTGCCTGCAGGTGGCCATGAGAATTAAATGATACCCTATGTAGGTTTGCCATGATATGCCATGTAGCAAACTTGAGTATGCTATAATTTTTAAGAAATCTTCTTTCTTCATTTGCTGGAGAAACCCCAAGGGCAGAATGTGTGGCCTGTGTCTGGCGAGTGTGTAGGACTTACGGGTTTTTGTGTCTTAACCTCTCTCCAGAGACCGCCTTACTTTATCTTCCTGTGGCTACTGTTTTTCCTCCTTTCAAGGTATTTTATGTAACTGCATTGCAAGCATCCTTTTGGAAATGGAGACAGGGTGCACATAGCATCATGGAGCTCAGCTTTCGCCTAAGCGAGGACACAGACTCATCTGTGAGGTCCATATGGTCTGGAGCAGGTGTGGCTCTGAGCCTCTACCCATCCCTGTGGTTCCTGCCGCCCCCACCCCTCTGCCTGCCCCCACCCACCCACTTTTCCCCTATGGCACAGCCCATGCCTCTCTGCCTGCAGCCTCTCTGCTTGGCAAAAACATCCCAGTGTCTGCAGTGGTATGTGTGGAAGGTGGTGTGTGGAGTGTGGTGTGTGTGGAGGGTGGCGTGTGTGGAGGGTGGTGTGTGTGTAGGGTGGTGTGTGGAGGGTGGCGTGTGTGTAAAGTGGTGTGTGTGGAGGGCGGTGTGTGGAGGGCGGTGTGTGTGGAGGGTGGTGTGTGGAGGGTGGTGTGTGGAGCATGGTGTGTGTGGAGGATGGTGTGTGTGGAGGGCGGTGTGTGTGGAGCATGGTGTATGTGGAGGGTGGTGTGTGGATGGTGTGTGTGGAGGGCGGTGTGTGTGGAGGGCGGTGTGTGTGGAGCATGGTGTGTGTGGAGGGCGGTGTGTGGGAGGGTGGTGTGTGTGGAGGGTGGTGTGTGGAGGGTGGTGTGTGTGGAGGGTGGTGTGTGTGGAGGGTGGTGTGTGTGGAGGGCGGTGTGTGTGGAGCGTGGTGTGTGTGGAGGGTGGTGTGTGTGGAGGGTGGTGTGTGTGGAGGGTGGTGTGTGTGGAGGATGGTGTGTGTGTAGGGTGGTGTGTGTGGAGGATGGTGTGTGTGTAGGGTGGTGTGTGTGGAGGATGGTGTGTGTGGAGGATGGTGTGTGTGGAGGATGGTGTGTGTGGAGGGCGGTGTGTGTGGAGCATGGTGTGTGTGGAGGGTGGTGTGTGTGGAGCATGGTGTGTGTGGAGCATGGTGTGTGTGGAGGGTGGTATGTGGAGAGTGGTGGAGGGTGGTGTGTGTGTAAAGTGGTGTGTGTGCTTTCCCCAGCTCCAGCCCTGGAGTATGGAGCCCTCAGCCATCCTGGAACTGGGCTGCGAGGCCATCCCTCTGCTCAGATGTGTCCTTTCTTTGACTGAGCCCTCCTTCCGTGACTCCCCCGCTGCCTCCCTTCTTGAGGCCGTTGTGTGAGAATCACAGGAGGCGCGCCCTAAGGACCAGGCACCCTGATTCTGTGGCCGTACTCATGCCCTGAGCTCAAGGAGTGGGAGCCAGGAAGGCTGAGCTCCAGTCTCAGCCCAATTGTGCAAACTGAGGTGATGTCACTCAAGCCTGTGGCAGTGCTGTCCGTAGCCATTAGCATTCCATGAGGCCCTCGAGTTTGGCGGCTGGATTCCCGCTGCCTGGCCCTTGCCAGGGATGTCACACAGCCCTATCCTCGGGCGCTCCAAATGCCTCCCTGTGCCTGTGATGTGTGGGGGAAGGCTGCGTCCTGGCCAGAGGCTCTTGGGGGCAGGTCTCAGACAGCAGCCCTGATGGCGTGGAGGAGCTGTCCACCCTCAGGCCCCACAAGCATCCAGCTGGTCCGTGTGCTGCTAAGTCCAGAAGGGTTATGTGTGCACACGTGTGTGTGCATGTGCACGTGTGTTCGTGTGTGTGCATGTGTGTGGGGGGAAGGGAGGCATGCATGTAGATAGAGATGCATAGATACTCTGCATTTTAGAAAGTTCCAGGTTCAAGTCAAGCTCCTTGGAGGCTCATTTCTAATGTGATTTTTTAGAGAAATAAACAACAGCAGTCGGGGTGGAGGCTTCTTCTCTCTGGCCCGTGATGGGCACTGCCTGCTGGCACTGCAGAGCAAGGGCTGGCTGGGGTGACAGGAGTGGGCTTTGCCTTTGGGCTGCTGGTGAATGACCCAGCTGTCCCCAGCGGGTGGACAGGCCTGACCTCAACACCAAGGTTATCCTTGTCTGTAGAATAAAGGGGGCCTGGATTCTATTTGTTTTTGGTTTTTCGGTGGGAAGCAGCATGATTTCATAGGAGGAGCCTCGGTTTGGGGTCAGAAGGTCTTATTTTGAGCCCAAATCATCCTTTCTCAGCCTGTGCCCAGGTTCCTCAGCAGTGAAGAGCAGGTGATAATATTAGGTTAAACTGCGTGGAATAGCCAATATTTGACTTTTTTTTTTTTTTTTTTTGAGACGGAGTCTCACTGTGTTGCCCAGGCTGGACTGCAGTGGCATGATCTCAGCTCACTGCAAGCTCCACCTCCCGGGTTCACGCCATTCTCCTGCCTCAGCCTCCGGAGTAGCTGGGACTACAGGCACCCGCCACCACGCCTGGCTAATTTTCTTGTATTTTTTAGTAGAGCTGGCATTTCACTGTGTTAGCCAAGATGGTCTCAATCTCCTGACCTCGTGATCCACCCACCTTGGCCTCCCAAATTGCTGGGATTACAGGCGTGAGCCATATTTGACTATTTTCTAACCTCAAAAATGATCATCTCACAGAGTTCAACGTAATATCTGACCCATCAACCATATAAAATTGTCAAAATTGTCATCTGAAAAACATATACGTAAATTATTTTTAAGCAGCTGAGTTTTCAGAATGTAAGTTATTTTTCTGACAAACCTGTCATTTTGACTTTTTTCCCCTTTTCTGAAACCGACTTTCTCCTCTCTTTTCTGGAATCTTGCTGTGTCGACCCAGCTGCAGCCCCTCCTCCTCCTCCAGGGTGCTGCGCCTATGGGACAGCACACTCACGCATCCAGTCCTTGTTGGCCTTGTCACAATCGTCACCTACTTTTAAAAAGTTTAAGAGCAAGTGTTGTAGCATCTCCTGGGTCCCGAGCTCTCCGAGGGACACAGTAAAAAGTGACTTAGGGCTGAGTCCAGAGACACTAGGTTTACCCTTGGAATCCTTGGAATCCATTCAAGGCAGCCGCCCCTACCTTTGGAGGGTGAAATTAAATTTAGTCCAAGCTGCAACAGCCAGTCCTGGGGTTGCCCGTTGAGCTGCGGCCCTGCCAGGTGGGTCACATATGAAAGAGCAGGTATTCTTCCCTCCTGACCCCTTATGGGGCCGTGCAGGCTGTGAGATAGGAGAGAGGCGGGGCCCCAGGGAGGGAGGAGGAGGTCAAGATCTAAGCTAATTCTCGTGGAGTGCAGGGCTCTGGGCAGAAGCTCCGTGCACACCCCTGGCCTCTCCGGTCTCTCTGTAGGATGGGAGCACTTCCAGGTCATTGTGTTCCTATAGGACCCTCAGGCGTGTGGGGTTGGCATCTCTGTGGTCCTGGGGCGGTTCTTCATATGGTCTCAGCCTGTCCTGTGGCTTCTCAGGGCCCCATTAACAATGGGGTGCTTACCACATGCCCCCCTACAGGTCTGTGGTCTACACTGAGGATGTAGCAGTGGAGGGCACATGAGGCTGCTGCCCTCGTAGGGTTTACTTTCTTTTTTTGAGATGGAGTCTCACTCTGTCGCCCAGGCTGGAGTGCAGTGGTGCGATCTTGACTCACTGCAACCTCCACCCCCTGGGTTCAAGCAATTCTCCTGCCTCAGCCTCCCGAGTATCTGGGATTACATGCGTGTGCTACCATGCCCGGTTAATTTTTGTATTTTCAGTAAAGACGGGGTTTCGCCATGTTGGCCAGGCTGGTCTTGAACTCCTGACCTCAGGTGATCTGCCCACCTCCCAAAGTGCTGGGATTACAGGCACGAGTTTCTGTGCCCCGCCAGGGCTTACATTCTTGAGGGTTCTGTCCCCCCTAGCCCCAGGGACCCCCGACCAGTGCCTCGGTCTGAGCTGGCACCTTACACAGGGCACAGGCTTGCGTAGGAGCCTGGGTTCCTGTGCGTCCGTCCTGTCACTCAGTAAGCAGCACTGTTGAGGGTTTGCTTTGAGGCTGGCATTCTTCCAGACATGGGACGGAGCAGGCACGGGACAGGCGAGAGCTTGCCACCCGTTTTCAGTCTTGCTCCTCCCCTCACTGCCCCCTGCCCTCCAGCTGAGAGGGAGTGGAGGGAAGCCCTTCACCAGAGCAGGAAGCCCCGGCTCCCTCTCCTGTGAACTCCCCTGGGGAAGTTGAGTCTGAGCAGTGTTTTAGCAGTGATGGGAGTGAGGACGTGCACATTTCATAGACGATGATGATACAGAGTAAGGCATTTTGGACGTGAGCTGTGGAGGGGGACCCATGAGGAGGGAGGCTTCCCATCCTTCCTTCCAGAAGCATCCACTTCTAAGACATTCGAGCTCACCAGCATGCAGAGTGGGGCCCCAGGAGCGCTCTCCCCTAGGTGCCAGGGGTTAGTGGTTAATGGTTTGACAATGATAATGAAACCAAAAGCCTGTGATTTTGGCTGAACAGGGGCATATGGAAATTTCCATCTGTAGCCGACTCTGGAGAGACGTGCGTGGCCAACTTCACAAGAGCTGCTTGCCCACACTGGCCATTGCGACTCCACGTCTCAGATCCCCGCACCAGCCTGGGCCAGCCAGGAGTAGCTGTTGCTGGCAGAGTTGCCCACAGCGAGGTGGGGATCGGGCAGTTTCCAGAAAAAGGGAAGCTGCTTGGCAAAAGCAGAAGTGATTTTTTTTTTTCTTTTTTTTTTTTGCCAGAGGCCCCAAACTCGCCAGTCTCAAACTGGGAAAACCCGTTCTTAGCAAAATGCTCCAGTGAGCTCTCATGGCAGGAAAGCTCACTCCAGTTCCGGAAAGTTGTGGTTTTGGCCTCTCCCAGCAAGAGGCACCAATGTAATGTCAGAGCCACGCTGAACTCTGGCATGGGCGACGTTTCTTTTTTCTTTGAGTTGTGTGTGTTTGTTTTGTGATATTTCCCTACCAGGCCATTAAGAAAAGTTAGATGGCAGCAAGGGTGTGAGTGGCTCGATCCCAGATAAAGAGGGCCAGGCACAGAGACGGCGGGATCGCTGGAGGAATTTGAGAGTCCCTCAGGTCTCACCACCCATTTGCGGGTTGGGGAGCAGGGGTACCCCTGTGGGCCGTGCCTTGGAGCTCAAGTGACTGGCCTAAGGTCACATTGCGGCGGCTCATCGAGGACTTCTTATTCCGTGTTGTCAGACTCGGCTTTCAGTGACACCATCAGTGACTGTGGGGGGAGGGACTAGATCTTCAGCATCAAAGTAGACACTGAATTAAAACTCACTGAGCTGAACTGATTTGCACAACTGCGAGGCAGCGCTCAGAGCACCAGACTCTCACCTCTGACTCCTCCCTCTGGCAGAAGCCGGTGGGGCGGGTGGATGCTGGTGGGGCACAAGGGCCATGTTCCTGGACACAGGACGATGGAGGTGGGGCAGGCGGGAAGGAGTGTAGAACTTGAGGATTTTGGAATTGGTCCATCTGGGTTCCAATCCAGGCTCGGGGCTCCTTGGCTGAGTGTGAGCTTGGGCTGCTTTGATGAGCATGGCCAATGCCATCTCTGAACCTCGGTTTGCCCACCTCCACAATGGCAGGGCTGCCCACCAGATGACGTGTGCTTCGAGGCAGAGCATGGGACAGGTTGCCCTTCTGCCTCCTGTTCATTTCTTCCTTTCTAAGATGAGGAAATAACCTATTAGCTGAGCAGGGTTACTTCGGAGCTTAGACAGATTTGATCCCTCCTTCCAGGAGAAACCTTCTGGACAGGCGTCTTTCCATTAAACACTCAAGAAGCGTTCTAGGTGAGGGGACTGTACCTCCAGGTTTCTCCTGGGCCCACCCGGTTCACACCCACTGTCCCTGTGTAATCATTTGATGTGCCCACTATGGGTAATTGGTGCTACGGTTCCCCTGCACCCCCCTCCCGCTTCTTTCTGCAGACACTGAGCCACCTGTGTGCACGGCCCCTCGGTTTAGGCGGTGTGGGTTCTCAGCCTCCCTGGTGTGTCTCGCTCCCCCTGCAGCCCAGCAGAGCCTCTCTGTGCCTAGCTACAGCACGCTCCGGAAAATGGCAAACGTGCTGCGGGCTGGGCAGGAGCAGCTTCCCCAGGTGGGAACACGCCCAGCATGCACAAGTGGCACGGATTGAATTATGTCCCCCAAAATATATAGAGAGGTCCTAACCCCCAGCACCTGTAAATGTGACCTTGTGTGGATATGGCGTCTCTGGCAGATGTACTTAGCGAAGATGAGGTCATCCTAGAGCAGGGTGGGCCCTTAATCCAGCATAACTGCAGCCTCCCAAGAAGATGGAAGACACAGGCCCGTGGGGAGCAGGCCATGGGACAGCAGAGGCCGAGACAGGAGTGCGCTGGTGGCTACCAAGGATCCCCAGGGAGAGCCAGTGACCCTCAGAACTAGGAAGAGGCACGGAAGGGTCCCCCACAGGCTTCAGAGAGGGCGCGGCCCTGCCCACCCCTTGATCTTGGACTTCAGGCCTGCAGAACTCTGAGAGAATCCGTTTCTGTTGTTCTAAGACCCCGTGTGTGTATGTTGTTACAGCAGCCGCCAGAAATGAATACAGCAGGACTTGGTGTTTCTTGTCACCCTCCATCCTTTGGTCTCCTGTCCATCTAGACACAGAGACTAATAGGGACATGGAGAAACTGAGGCACGGAGATTCTTGACTAAGAACTTCCCCACCATCATCCTGACATCGCTTGGACTCCTGCGGAAGGGAAGGGCCAAGTTCCAGAAAACAGAGCCTAGCTGGCATGGCCAGACCGCCCCGTGTGGGAGGGAGCAGGGCCCTGCCAGAAACTTTCTCCAAAGCACGGTGCATCGGAGGCCCCTTTCCCCAGGCAGCCTGTGTCTCAGGGCCTGCGGCCTGCCAGGCAGGGGGCACTGCCTCTGCGTCTTCGTTTCCCCAACACGGTTAGAATTCTCGAGGTCTCCACCACGCCCCTGTATTCCAGGATCACAAAGAACTTCCTAAATGGGAACCCATTTTCGTTCAGAACACCCTGCAGGAGCCATTGGGAGAGGAACCGTGGAGCAGTACCCAGGTCCTGGGCCTGCCTGAGCCAACCCGTACGGCTCGGTGGCTGGCCTCCCCAACTCTCCTCACCTGCGGGCTGTGAAGATCAAATGAGATGATGTCTGCTGACGGAAGTCCAATTTAATTTTTAAAGTTATTTATTATCCTTATTATCATTTTCTTATTTTTAGGTAGATCAAAAGACATGCAGTAGGCTGGGTGCGGTGGCTCACGCCTGTGATCCCAGCACTTTGGGAGGCCGAGGCAGGAAGATCACCTGAGGTCAGGAGTTTGAGACCAGCCTGGCCAACATGGTGAAACCCTGTCTCTGCTAAGAATATGAAAATTAGCCAGGGGTGGTGGCGGGGGCCTGTAATCCCAGCTACTCAGGAGGCTGAGGCAGGAGAATTGCTTGAACATGGGAGGTGGAGGTTGCAATGAGCCAAGATTGCGCCACTGCCCTCCAGCCTGGGCAACAAGAGCGAAGCTCCATCTCAAAAAAAAAAAAAAAAAAAAAAAAAAAAAGACATGCAGTATTTTCTTCATCTGTTTGTACTGCTATAACAAAATACCCGAGACTGGGTGATTTCTGAAGAATAGAAATTTATTTCCAGTTCTGGAGGCTGGAAAGTCCGAGACGAGGGTGGTGCCAGGAGGTTCGGTGTTGGGTGAGGGCCTGGTCTCTGCTTCCAAGGTGGCACCTTGCACACTGTGACTTCACATGGACAAAAGTAGGCCTCACTGGTTCCTTCCAGCTCTTTTCTAAGAGTAGTAACCCATTTCTGAGGGCCCTGTCCTCATGACCTAACCACCCCCAAGCCCACTTCTTAATATTGTTGCATGAGGGATTAAGTTTCAGCATGAATTTTGTAGGAGGCACAAACATTCAAACCATAGCAGTATTTATCCAAAGGTTTCATCTGCTCCCATCCTGAAAGCTGAAGTCCTCAGCCTCGTCTCTGCAATCTGACTTCACAGTGCAGGAGGGAGGGGTGGCGTAGTTTAAAAGCCGCTGGGCCACGGGCACTCTTTAGCAACTGACTCTTTAGAAAAGCAGCTCTGATTCATAGTGTTTCCTGACTGCTGTGGTGTAAATGTTCCCACCATGGAAGATTTCCACATGGCCTCAGTTAATGGAGCTGGGGAAAGACACCCCCAGTCTGCTCCGGGGAGCCCGTGTGAGCTGCCAGCTTCACCTGCCTAAACGGATGCTTCCGGGCGCCAACCTCACAGGGTGGCCTCCTTTTCTCTACACCTGAAACCCCAGAGGACAGAAGCATTGTGTCTGGAAGAAAGAGCCAGTTCGAAAGACTCAGGTGCCCAGGCTGGGAGCAAGGGCTGGAGCAGCCCCAGCGGAGCTTGTCGGTGCTTTGCCGCGTGGTTATATACCAGGTTAGCTCATCGTCGTGTTGGAAGGAAAAGGGCTCTGAGCCTTCAGAAGATGAGCAGTGCCCCAGGATGAGTGATGGGGCTGGGAAGGCCAGGGGGTACAGCCTCAGTGGGGTGCTTCACAGGGTCTCAGGTGTCGATGTCCTGTGGGAAGGACAAGTTCCTAGAGAGAGAGGCTCGGGGACAAGAGCTCAAGGCCAGCGTCCGTGAGGATGTGGCTTGAGAAAAGGAACAGAGCTGATCATAGAAGGAAAAGTCAGCTAAGAGCCACCTGCCTAATTCACTCTCAGTAGGCTCCTGTCGCCCCAGCCTGCTAACCCTTGGCCAGAGGAAAATTACCGGCAGCTCAGGGGCTCCCTTTGGATGCTTGGCCAAGAGGAATATTCTTCACTGTACCATCTCGGCCACACAGTTAAGCTGGTATCTGCTGTGTGGACACTGCTGTGTACCCAGAATAACACTAGACATCAGGGACCCCAGCCTAAGGCTGCAGTCTTCCTGCAAAGTCCAGGCGGTTTCACTGGGAGATTCCAGAACCATTTCCCTCTCGGGCATCCCCCGTCAAGCATGGGCTTTGCACAGGTACAAGGCCGAGAGCATTTACCTAGCAGTCCCTCACCCAGCCGCTTACCCCCATACACACTTACATTAGTAACAGCCTTGGTGATCTTGCTGACAGTTTAAGAAGCAGATGAGGACTCACATTTGTGTCATTAAAACACAAATCCCTTTGCAAAACTGGATCTCATTCCCAGCTGTGCGTGTTAGTGGACTGTCCTCCTCTTCAAATATGACCAAGCTTTTTAGAACAGTCATGCAAACGTCCTAGAATCCAACTACAGAAGAATACTGTAGGACATGGCATTTATGAAGCCCTATGGTGGTTATAAGAGGGGGATTCATTTTACAAAGATACAAAGATAACCAGAAGAATACTCACTTTATCTACACGTCCAAACACTCATCCACATGCACACGCATACACACCTACACATACAGACATACATGCACAAAGGGTCTCATATACCACCTCCTGCCAGCGTCCTAAGTTACGGTGTCCCTCAGAAACAGAGGTGGCGTTGTGGGATAGGGTAGTTCCAAATTGCAGCCATTCACACCTGCACAATTTTTATATCCAAGTGCAATTTTTAAGCTTATTTTTATTTTTTTATTTTTAAATTTTTTTGAGACGGAGTTTCTGTCGTCAGGCTGGAGTGCAGTGGTGCGATCTTGGCTCACCGCAACCTCTGCCTACCGGTTTCAAGTGATTCTCCTGCCTCAGCCTCCTGAGTAGCTGGGATTACAGGCGTGCGCCACCACACCCAGCTAAGTTTTGTATTTTTAGTAGAGACGGGGTTTCGCTATGTTGGCCAGACTGGTCTCGAACTCCTGACCTCAAGTGATCTGCCCACCCCCAAAGTGCTGGGATTACAACTGTGAACCACCGCGCCCGGCCTTACATTTATTTTTAAAAGAAACTTTCTAAGACTAGAAGAAATGGAAAACTTCTAACATGGTTCACCATAAATTGTAAAAATAAACAGCTGCCCATCAGGGTAAATCGTGTCAGCTCACACACCGCAAGTAGGGGCGAGCACTGATCAGGCCGGGAGGTCTGGCTCTGGAAAGTCATGTCACAGGGACTCATCTGTTGAGGAGGGCTCCTCCAGACCCTGCTAGCCCCCGATCTGAGGACAGCACCCGTCTGTGTTCCGGGACCATACACACTGTGTGTGTGAAAATCCAGCCCCCAGATGCCGGGAGAGGGACCCTGAGGGAGCGGCAGACTCTGGGGCTAATGGCAAGAATTATTCCTGGTGGCTCCGATGAGCTGGGGTTGCCGTTGGTGTTTGGGAAGAGCTCTGATCTCCTAGGTGGGGCCTTTCCCGCCCCCGCAGTGTTTTGGGAAATGCGGCTCCCACTACCTGCCGCCCTCAGCATTTAGGTGACTTGGCAGCCACCTCCCCTTGTGAGGATGACGAGGTTGGGAAGGGAGGCAGGCATCTGAAAACGGCAGCCACCGCCTTTCCCTTCCCAGCGCCTCCCCCACGAGTCAGTCCTGATGCTGCCAGGGCCCAGACTTCCAAGTGGGGCCACCACCGCTTCCTCCCTCCTCAACAATAGTTAGGCTGGTGGTTCTCAAACTTGAGCAAGCTCTGGGGTCACCTGGAGGCTGGGCCCCACCGCCGAGTTTTCCGTTCAGTAGGTCTGAGGCGGGTTCATGAATGTGCTTTTCTAGCAAGTTCCTAGGTTGACAAGGACGCTGCTGGTCCGGGAACCACGCTCTGAGGACCACTGGGCCAGGAGTTGAAGAGAGCCGGAGCCCTCTTGCAGCTCAAGGTTCTGATCAGCTCATTAGCCCAAGATTCATTTTCTCCACTAACAACGTCTTCACCTGAGAAGGAAATGAGTCCCATCCTGGCTCAAGCAGGCCACAGACGAGGAGAAGAGGCTGTCGGGGTGAAGAGGGCCATTTTTGTCGCTGCCAGGAGAGGGATGCCGAGCAGTGATCCTGCCAGGAAAGGGAACTGTGGGGTTGAGATGTGGGGGGCAGCTGGGAACAGGGGCAGGTGGGGAGGGACAGATGTCTCCCAGCACCCTTGTGCGGGGCGGAGGCTGCCTGCCGCCATCCCTGGAGCTCCGCATACACTCTTTTCAACAGCACCGAGAAGAGGAGCTGTGACGTCCCCGTGTCCCAGGGAGGTTTGCCGGGCTGGGGAGCACAGAATTCATCTGCCAGACTCAGACCCAGGCGGTCTAGCCCAAGAGGGAATATATGTATGTGACAACAATTGCATGGAATGATACCGATTTATTCATCCAGTAAATACTTACTGAGCCTTTACTTTGTGCCGGGCACTGTTTTAGACACGGGGCTTTAAGAGTGAACAGAACTGTCAAAAATCCCTCACTCATGGAGGTCACATGCTGGTGACGAAATAGAGACAGTGAGCCACAGAAAGTTAGTGTATTTCAAACTTTTGGACCATGACTCACGATAGAAATAATAACTCGTGTTTGCATAGTGCTCACTGTTTGCCAGGCACTGAGTTATTGTCTGTTCTACGTTTCGTATCTCTTTCTATTTCGTATGACCTACCTAAAATAACTTTGTGATTCGCTCATGGGGAAGGGCTTCTCATTTGAGAACCACTGCTCCGATGGACACGCTCACCCAGGTGGGAGGGTTTTTACCCCCGTTCCTTCCCACCTCTGCCTCGCCAAACCAGCCCCTTCATGTGATGGGTCCTCTTCCGCCTCTTTGAGGAAGCCGCTCTGACTTCCAGCCCACACGACTTCGCGGAGTGGTAGAAGTTGAGAGCTAGAGACGAGGTGTTAGGGATGAGGTCACCCAGTATGATCTTCCCATTTTACAGAAGAGTACACTGAGGCCCAGAGGGAGCACTGGCCTGCCTGTGGTCTGTAGTAGTGAGTGACCAGTCTCTGAGGGACACTGCCACAACTTCAGAGCCACGCTCTTTCTCTATCTCTGCAGCAAAAGAGGAGAGCTTCCCAAGGGCTTCCCCAACCCCTGGGAAAGGCCTGGAGTGTGGGAGGAAACTGACTCATGCCTTCTTCTCCATCTCCTTCTATCTCCTCCTTCTACCTCCTTCTACATCTCCAAACCCTGGCCAGGAGTCAGGAGGCCCAGGCTGAGGCCTTGGAATCTGAATTTTTAAAAAGCTTCTGTTCCTTGGAATTCTACAGAGGTGGGCAGCCATGTGCTGCCTCCTGCTCACCTTCCCTGGCTGGGCTCTGAGGACGATGGAGCCTTCTGCCATGACATGTCCATGGATGTGAGATGTGAAGAGGAAGAATTTCTATCCGATCTTAACCAAACAGAGTGTAGGTTTTGGTCTAGATGTTTGAATTGGGTCCAAGTCTTCCTGCTTTGAGTCAGCTGATTCCAAATGAATCTATTTTATTAATTTGGTGATAAGTGGTCTCAAGTTCCAGCCTAAACTTCCTTGGGGGGCCTCACCCCAGTGGGGATAGAGATAAGGCTGTGTGATACCAGATCCTAGAACAAACACTCAAATACTCAGCTCTGGGAATAGAAGTGCAAGCAGAAATCCATTTATTCTCTTTGAAAACACACCAACTAGATATTGCTTCAACTTTACTCCATAAATCAGTGAGTTTTTTGGTGACATAATTCATGAAACTTTTGGGAAAACAACAATGAAGCCACCAGATTTGAAATTCAGAACAACAGCTGTAGCCGCGTGATGGTGCAGCCTGTCTTCAGCTTGTCAACACCATATTCCTTAGGAATGGTTGGCCCACCAGTTCCTTGCAGAAACCACAGAACTAGAATGAAGTGTCTCATGTACATCAGCTTCAGGAAACGACAACGTGAGACATAGCCCTGCTGCTGTGTTCCATCTGCTTTTATATGCAGCTTTGTTCCAGGTTCTAGACATGTGGACACTTAAGTATTATCTGTGTACATATGCTGCACGTCTGTGTGTAGGTTTATATCAAAACTTGTAGGTACACTGGGGCTTGGAACACATATATTCATGCCCAGAAATCTGTGCACATAGATATATAGACACTGTGTGTTTGCATGACTAAAAGCATGGCCTGCGTGTATGTGTGTCTTTCAAATGCCTGCTGTATTGGCTTGTTGGCCTGCACAGATACACCCAGATTCTTGAACTCAGATGGAGCCTGTTCAGCAGTGTCCCAAAGTAGGGACAGGGAAGAACTAGACCTTGAAGGGAATCCTGCAGTTTACTTGTTTTCTATCCTAAAGACACGTTTCCACCTGAATTGAGAAGATCAGAGTTCTGAAGCCTTCACAATCAGAATTGTGAAGCCTCCTCTGCTTCACGGCAGCATCCCCATGCTACCACCGCTACTTACTATCACTACCTACCATCACTACCCATCACTACCTACCATCACTACTATCACAACCATCACTACCTACCATCGCTACCATCATCCCTACCTACCATCACTACCATCATCACTACCTACCCTCACTACTATCACTACCATCCCTACCATCGCTACCATCATCACTACCTACCATCACTACCATCCCTACCTACCATCACTACCATCACTACCTACCATCACTACCATCACTACCTACCATCACTACCATCATCACTACCTACCATCACTACCATCCCTACCATCCCTACCTACCATCGCTACCATCATCACTACCTACCATCACTACCATCCCCACCTACCATCACTACCATCCCCACCTACCATCACTACCATCCCCACCTACCATCACTACCATCCCCACCTACCATCACTACCATCCCTACCTACCATTGCTACCATCATCACTACCTACCATCACTACCATCCCCACCATCACTACCATCCCTACCTACCATTGCTACCATCATCACTACCTACCATCACTACCATCCCTACCTACCATTGCTACCATCATCACTACCTACCATCACTACCATCCCTACCTACCATTGCTACCATCATCACTACCTACCATCACTACCATCACTACCATCCCCACCTACCATCACTACCATCCCCACCTACCATCACTACCATCCCTACCTACCATCACTACCATCATCACTACCTACCATCACTACCATCCCTACCTACCATCACTACCATCACTACCATCCCTACCTACCATCACTACCATCCCTACCTACCATCACTACGTACCATCACTACCATCCCTACCTACCATCACTACCATCACTACCTACCAACACTACCATGACTACCTACCATCACTACCATCATCACTACCTACCATCACTACTATCACTACCATCCCTACCTACCATCACTACCCATCACTACCTACCATCACTACCATCACAACCTACCATCACTACTATTACTACCTACTATCACTACCATCATCACTACCTACCATCACTACCATTACTACCTACTATCACTACCATCATCACTACCTACCATCACTACCATCCCCACCTACCATCACTACCATCACTACCATCCCTACCTACCATCACTACCATCATCACTACCTACCATCACTACTATCACTACCATCCCTACCTACTATCACTACCCATCACTACCTACCATCACTACCATCACTACCTACCATCACTACCATCCCTACCTACTATCACTACCATCCCTACCATCCCTACCATCACTACCATCCCAACCTACCATCACTACCATCATCATTACCTACCATCACTACTATCACTACCATCCCTACCTACTATCACTACCATCCCTACCTACCATCACTACCATCACTACCTACTATCACTACCATCATTACCTACCATCACTACCTACCATCACTATCATTACTACCTACCATCACTAACATCACTACCATCACTACCTACTGTTACTACCACCACTGCTACCCTCACTACGGTGGCTCATGCCTGTAATCCCAGAACTTTGGGAGGCTGAGATGGGAGGATCACTTAAGCCCAGCAGTCCGAGACCAGCCATGGCAACATAGGGAAACCCTGTCTCTACAAAAAATAAAAAAATTAGCTTGGTGTGGTGGCAGGCACCTGTAGTCCCAGCTACTCAGGAGGCAGGGTGAGAGAATTGTTTGAATCCAGGAGGCCAAGGGTGCAGTGAGCTGAGATCGCACCACTGCACTTCAGGCTGGGTAACAGAGTGAGATCCTGTCTCAACCAATCAATTAATCAATTAACCAATCAATCAGTCAATCAGATGGGGTCTCACTCTGTCTCATAGGCTGGACTTGAACACCTGGGCTCCAGTGATCTTCCTGCCCCAGCGTCGCAAGTAGCTGGGACTGTAGGTGCCACCGTGCCCGGCAGCACTTTATATTCTTAAACTAACAACATCCACAGTTGATGAATGAGGAGCCTGAGACTCGGGTGGGCAGCTCCTCGCTCCGGTGTAAACCCCTCCATCAGAAGCAGGCCGGCTTGGGGCCGGAGCCCCTGTGCACCCTGCTGGACCACTCTGGCGACGGAGGTCCGGGGGGTTCATGTTTCACAGAACAGTGAACTTCCATCTTGGGAGGACCTCCCATTCCTACTCTTGCTCCTGAGGCAGTGAACTGACAGAAGCCACATCCACACAGTGCAGGTCCGGGGGCCAGATGCATCTGTAGTCTCAGGACTGCAGGTTGGGGCCTCGGGACAGGTGCACAGAGGCAGGAGGCTGAGATGGGAGGATCAATTGAGGCCAGGAAGTTGAGGCTGCAGTGAGCTATGATTGCCCCACCCAGCTATGATTGAGCCTGGATGACAGAGCGAGACCTCATCTAAATGAATGAATGAGTAACTAACTGGTGCATGGTGAGGGCCCTTTGCAGCTGGGCTGCTGGGCCAGCTGCTGCTTTCTCTACACAGGCAGCCTGGGGAACCTCGAAGGCACCTTAGCCAGCCAGTTGCATTCTGGGCATGGAGGACCTGTCCTCCCTCAAGGCCTGTGCTGTCCAGGCACCTTTTCAAATGCCTCCCTACTGTCACCAGCTCCGGGGAGATGAATCTGCCACTCCTAACAAGTAACTTAGATGATGTCTTCTTTTGAAAGTCTACTTTTCTGATTACAAACGTAATGTAAAATGTAATGCCCTCAAGGACTGGCGCACACACTCAGGGTACAAATACAGTCACTCCTCTTTCAGTGTCCAAATTCACCGCTCCAGCCCCCACTCTCTTTGTTAGGGGGATATCTGATCTCCCTCTTGAGCCCTGCCCCCAATTGTCCAAGAACCCCTGGGGTACAGGTGTGGCCTCCCAGGGAGCTGCCACCCTGCTCAGCTTCCTCTGCCGCCCTGCTCAGCTTCCTCTGCTGTGGCTCCTGGGCCACACGGTGTCCCTGGGGAAGGCGGGCCCCTGCTACGTTGGGCTGGCTGGCCCTGGATGGACCACTACCCAAGCTCAGTGACATTGCAGGTGTGACCACTTGGGGCTCAGCACCCTTGGGCTATGGACAGAGCTAGAGCCTGGAGCACCAGATCCCAAGTCAGGACCAGGTGTCCCTGGCGTTTCTTCCCTAGTGGTTACCGAGGCCCGAGGCGGCGTCTCCATGACACCCTCATTCCCTGCTGAAGGAATTCTCGTGGGTGAAGCATTATGTAAATCATCAGACCGGATTTAAATACAAGACATGAGTAAGGTGTGGCGAAAGCATTGGAACTGTAGACATTGCTATTCTCATTCCGAACAGGCACTGAGTACAAGGTTGCTCAATGAAAAATAGCAGACTCATGGACCATCATCCTTGTCTAGGTGGGGAAACTGAGGCCTAAAGAGGTCAGGGTTAGGGCTGGACGGCAGGGGCTGCGGACCGCTTCTGAGCTGCAAACCAGCACGAGAGTTCCGACCGCGGTGCCCGGCCACGCTGCCTTGCCCCAGCATCACTTGACTTCCTCCTTCTACTTTCCTTCCTTCTGCAGGCCAGTCTGTAGTTGGCTGATGTCTGAGAATATCACGACTTTTCTGATTCTTAGCAGAAAAGATGTGGTTTTCTAGGAAGCTTCTGGTGCAGCGAGCCCTGGTTGGGGTGGGGCTGAGGGCAGTTAAAGCCCAACGTGCCCCTGCCTAGCCGTTCAGGAAATGGCCCGGCTGAGGTGTCAGGCAGCTGCCAGTCTGCAGAGCTGGCTTCAGAGGAAGCTGCCCCTTTTCTATTTTTTTTTTTTTTTTTTTGAGACAGTCTCACTCTGTTGCCCAGCCTGGAGTGCAATGGCTCAGTCTCTGCACACTACAACCTCTGCCTTCCGGGTTCAAGCGATTCTTCTGTCTAAGCCTCTCGAGTAGCTGGAACTACAGGCATGAGCCAACACGCCTGGCTAATTTTTGTATTTTTAGTAGAGATGGGGTTTCACCATGTTGGCCAGGCTTGTCTCTAACTCCTGAACTCAAGGGGTCTGCCTGTCTCAGCCGCCCAAAGTGTTGGGATTACCGGTGTGAGCCACTGTGCCTGGCCTTCTTTACTTTTTTTTTTTTTTTTTTGAAACAGGGTCTTGCTTTATCTCCCTGGCTGGAGTGCAGTGGAGCAAACACAGCTCACTGCAGCCTCGACTTCCCTGGCTCCAGCGGTCCTCCCACCTCAGCCTCCTGAGTAGCTGAGACCACAGGCATGCACCACCACACCTGGCTAATTTTTGTATTTTTTGTAGAGACGGGTTTTACCATGTTGCCCAGGGTGATCTCCAACCCCTGGGCTCAAGCAATCTTCCTGCTTCAGCCTCCCAAAGTGCTGGGATTATAGATGTGAGCCACTGCACCCACCTGCCCCTTGTCTTGGTGGTCTTGTGTCAAATCAGGTGAGACATGTCCAGGATACCCGTCTGCTGGAGACGAGGGTGCTGAGGGGATTGAGCAAGGCTGTGGGGCCGAGCCTGGCAGGGTCGAGGGTGTCCAAGTCAAGGGACACCAGGCCCTTCATGGAGTGGTGCAACGCCACAGCCCCGCTGACCCCAGCTGAGTGCTGCAGCAGTGGGAGCTGGCCTCCTCTTCCTCTTCTGGCTCTGAGTCTACTGTGTTTCCTTCGTTGCTTCTAGAAATAAAGGCACCACTGTGGAGGGAGAGGGAACAGAGATTAAATGTGGGCCCAGCCTCTCCTGTCCTTTCCAGTCCTGCCTCTGCTGGTGCCTGTTCCCGAGGCCCAGGTGTGGCCTCCTCCGGGGTCCTGTGCGCGTTCCCGAGGCCCAGGTGTGGCCTCCTCCAGGGTCCTGTGCGTGTCTCCAAGGCCCAGGCGCGGCCTGCTCCAGTGTCCTTTCCAGCCAGCGCTGCCCACAGGAGTGACTGTCTGCTCAGATCCCGGCTTTACCGGAGGAGAAGCTGCTGTGGGTTTTGTTGCAGGGGGCGGGAACTCTGGATTAGCTGTAGGAAGTAATTCCTCCCTAAGACAGGCCCACTCGGTAGGGGAGCTTCTGAAGGCACTGGTGTAAAGGGAAGTCAGCCAGAAACAGTGATTAATAGATCATTAGCATCTTAAGGGGAAATTATAAAGGTGTTAGGGCTTAAGAGCCCCCTGAGAAAAGTGCCTCGCGTGTGGCATTCAGAACTCTCTAAGCCTCTCCCCTGCTCCCTGCAGTCCCCCCTCGAGGCTGCCTGATTGCCCCGTTCCCAGCTCAGCTTCTAATCTTTAAAAAGGTATTTAAGGTTTATATTAACCATGACTATACTAATATCAACCATTTCTCTCCGTTTGTGTGAAGCACTCTCAACGCCCTGCGAGCGCCGACGGTTGGATGGAGGGAGGGTCGCCCGGATTCACCCCCAGCTGCCATCCCCGTGGGCCAGCACTGCCTCTTTCTCTCCCTCTTCTTCCACCTTATCTTCCTGTCCACTTTCCCCCTTTCCCTCCCCCATAATTGACCCCAATGTGGAATTGAGGGTCATTTCAAAATATTTCTGATACTATTTGAAGAAAATAAACTTTATCTGTTTAATGAAAAATACCAGGTCTCACCAATTTGCTTTCTCCTGTAATGATTGGGGTGGTGGGGGGAGCTGTGTAGCCCCGAAGGGCACTCTGCCCTGGCTGTGGCAGTGGCAGGAGGTCACACTTTATGGGATTCGGTCTGTCTCCCCACCGCTCCTGTACGGTGATGTCTTCCAGAGATGTGAAGACGGCTGTGCACGGTGTGGTGTGGCTTTGTTTTCCTCGCAGCGCCCAGGGCAGGGCTGAGCTGGAGGTAACCGGGGTTCAAGTTGAATTTAAACAAATAGCCTCAAATAAACATTGGCAGTCTGGCAGGGACCTCGTCTCGGGGGTCCCCGCAAGCTGGCTGGGCCGGGCCCTTTCGCGTCTGGAGTGCTCACTCTGTTCTGCTTCCGCTGTTGTGGATGATCCAAGAACTGAATATTCTCAGTGGCTTCTTAGTCCTAAGTGAATTTGTCACAGGACATTAATGCCTAAAGCCAGAGAACCTGCCAGGAGGAGAGGGCAGGGGACCCGAGGGGCTAGGTCCTACCTCACAGTTCTCCAGCCCAGGAGCTGTGGCCTGAGGACCCTGGAGGACCCGCATACACGCCCTCCTGTGCCCCGCTAAGGCTGCACCCAGACAGGAGGCCAGAGGCACAGCTGGGACAGCCTAGAGACTACCCCAGCCTCCACACCCCATCGGAGGGGAATTCACACTGGGAAGGGGGCAAGTTCTGATCCCCTGGAGGCAGAGGAGCCAGCGATGGGTCCACCTTGCCTTTGTTGTTGTTGTTGTTTTTGTTTCTTGTTTTGGTGACTGAGTGAAGGGACTTGACCCTGGTTCTCCCAGCTTGAGCAGGAGCGTCACTGCGGTGATCAGGGAAGCTGCCTGGACCAGCTGGCCTGGGGCAGCCACCACCCCATTCTCTCGCCCCTCTTGAGAATCCAGCCTGTGGACCCAGGTGTGTCAGCCTGCAGTCAGACCACAGTCTGTCTCGGGCTGGTGCTGGGGGTGGCAGAAAGGGGGTCCTGACGCAGCCCCTGCTCCCCCGAGTCTCTCAGTCTCCTGGGGAAGAGATGACAGACAAAACATAAAAGAGAAATCATGCTATAGGGGAAGGAATGCTCCAAAGACACGGCCGAAGACAAAACTCAGGATATGGGAAGCGGTCATGAATATTCATTGTAATCACATCTCACTGGTTTAAAACCAAAAAATGTCGGGGTGAGTTAGACTCAGGATGTGCACTGGGTCCTGGGTCCTGCAAGTCCCACAAATTAGATACATTCACAGGGAGCTCAGACACGCTGGTCCATGGAGCAATCAATGCCCGTGGATTGGCCTCGTCACAGTCCCCATCTCCGATGCCTCCCTGAGCTGCACCCCACTCTTGAATACGGAAAGGCTGCCCTTTGTGGGACAGATGCACTTTCATCACGGTGAGCAGCCAGCAATCTGCCATCACAGTGGGCCCTTCCTCCTGGCATCACCAGGCTGCCCACGAGAGCCCCCGGGATGTCCGATCCAGACCAATGGAAGCCCAGGGTGGGGCCAGGATGCTGGGTGACTGTCCTGCAACAGGACCTGGGTCAGTCTCCTTGTGTGTCTGTCCATACAGCAACCTCTCCTTATCTGGCAAGTGATGACAATTTAAAACCACAACGAGAGTGGTTCCTAAAGGCGAGCTTACGCCTTTAGGAAGGCTCCCAGGCTTAGGCCAGGGAGGATGCTGTTAGATGCCTCGGAAGGGTAAGCAGGCAGACAAGAGCAATTTCTGAAAACTTTCTAAGGGTGTCGAGTGTGGTGGTTAATGCCTGTAATCCCAGCACTTTGTGGGGCCGAGGTGGGAGGATCACTTGAGCCAAGGAGTTCGAGACCAGCCTGGGCAACATAGGGAGACCCGTCTCTACAAAAAATTAAAAATAATAAAAATAATAAAAAATAAAAATATTACCTGGAGGATCACTTGAGCCCAGGAGGTCAAGGCTGCAGTGAGCCAAGATCGTGTGTGTCATGGCACTCCAGCCTGGAAAACAGCAAGACCCTGACCCTAAAAACAAATGAACATAAAACCTTTCTAAGGGCACCCTGTTATGAGTTGAATTGTGTGTCTCCTAAAAGATGTGTCCAAATCCTAACCCTCTGTACCTGTGAATGTGACCTCTTTTGGAAACAGGGTCGTTTCCGATGTGATGAGTTTTGATGAGGCCACATTGGAGCAGGCTGGCCCTTTTCCACATGGCTGGCATCTGCGTATGAGGGGGATTCTGGACACAGATATGCCCGGAGAGACCTCTGGTGAGGATGAAGGTGGAGATCAAGGTGATGCTTCTACAAGCCAGGAAACCCCAAAGATGGCCGGCAGCCACCCGTAGCTGGCAGAAAGGCCTGGACAGATTCTCCCTCTCAGCCTCAGAGAGACCCAGCCCTGCCGACACCTTGATCTCGGACTTCCGGGCTCCGGAACTGGGAGATGGTGCGTTTCTGTTGTTCAAAGCCCCCCAGGAGACTCACCCACAGCGATGGGGAGGGGCGGCACTGCGCCGTAGCCCTCCACACTCCCTCCACTCCGTTCCTGGGGTGGGGGCTTAAACCTCTCTGCACCTCATCAGATGCTTTCCAGGGTCCCTTCCGACCCCAGATGGTCCACATTCCAGCAAGTAGGGGTAGTGCTGGGTGTTCCTCCTCCCACTATGTGGAGATGGGATGTTCAGCCCGGAAGACTCTCACCTGAGGGTGCGCTGTGCGGTGCAAACAGGGACACCCGTGCCTTTATTTAAACAGAAACCCACATCAAACAACGTGATGTACTGATTGGTTGACAAAAACGTGGCCAGAGGCTCCCAGGAAGCTAACCCTGCACCTCCCCTGAAAACAATGGCTCAGCATTTGCTAACTCAGTGTGCCTGGCGACTTTGTGGAGCAAAACCACCTTGAGTAACGGGAATCACCTGTACCTGGTTACAGGACTTAATTTACCAAAAATTGTGGCTCAGGTCATCTTGGGTGTACTTTCTCATTCCCTTAGAAGTGGGAGTCAGTTTAAGACAAATCATGATCACCAAATTCTGTGACTTGAGTTGACACCTTGTTTGAATTTGTCCTTAAGTTTTCAGGGTCAGCCCTGTTGGGGGCTGCTGGGCAGAAACCTTGTTCTTTCCAAGGTGCATTTAACTGCTGTCGGGGAATGATCCACCTGCTGCCATTTTCTATTTTTTTTTTCCTCCAGAAACTGGCAGTAAGGTGAGTATTTAGCAAAGGTAACTTTTTAAGTAGATTCACTATTCTGTTATCCCTGCCTGGCCCCCGCCATGGGCCGGGCCTTCTCCTAGAGGAAGGAGAGATGGACGGTGAGGTGGAAATGCTGGCTGTGGCCTCAGGCTCCCAGCGGGGGCAGTGTGCTTGTGTGCCAGTGCACTGGGCACCCCACAGAACACACCCCCTCCCGCCATCTGGGGGAGGCACAGCGGGGAGGCTGTGAACCTTTCCTCATTAAGGACTTATTTTTTATGCCAGTTGGATTCTGGGCTTGCCTCGTGCCAACCTCCCCTTTGCCCCTTTCTGAATGTGTTAATCACAGGGGAAGTGTTATTTCTCCAAACTATCCCCCACCCCTGGAACAACTGAAAAGCCCGCTGGAGTTAGAAGGATCTTGGCTGGTGCTGGGGCTGGGGACCAGATGGGTTTCTGGAGCGTCCATCGGCTTAAGAGCCGAGACAGACACTCCTGCCGCCCCGCTCTGGCTCTCCTCTCTATAGCAGAGCGCAGGTGAGGGCGGCACCCACAGGGCTGTCTCTCACCCGCACCATCCCTGCAGACTTCCCCAGGGCCCTCCCTGCCGCTTCCACCCTCTCCTTTCCAGGGCCTCCTCCGCTCAGCAGCTGGAACAGCCTTTGAACATCATTCGTCACACCCTGTCCTGCTCAGGGATGAGCAGGGATGAGAACCCTTCCCGCTGCACACTCCCGAGCCCTGCCTCAGGGCCTTTGCACTGGCTACCCTCCTGCCCGGGGTGCTCTGTCCCAGCTTCCAATGGTCAGTTCCCTTTCTCAGGTCCACCCCACAGATCTCCACGAGGCCTTCCGTGACCATCTAATCAAAAGACTCACGCGCTCTCTGTTGCACTGATCACACCTGATTCTCTTACAGTTCTTACCGGAATGAAATTAGCTTTTTATTTTGACATGCGCCTCTCCACTGGAAAGCCAGCTTCGTGATGGACGCTGTCTGTCTTTCTGTTCCTGAATCTTCCAGGGCTGGTGCACCATAAACGAGTGAGTGCCAGCAACCTCAGACACCTGATCTGCCCACCTCCTCCAAGATGTCCCCCACTTTTCAGGGGACAGTGTGGGTGTCCTGGGAGGAACACCAGGCTAGTCCGGAGCGGGTCCTGCAACGTGGGGTCAGGGCACGGGGCCTCCCTGGAAATGGCCACCGTCCTAACTGCTCGCCTGGGATAGGGGTCTCTGGGAGGCTGCCCATTTATTACCTAGAGAAGAGGGAGGGAAGGTCTGAGGATGGGCCTCAGAGGTGGGCTCTGAGCTTTTGTCGCCTCAGTCCCAGGTAGCACCTGGAGAGTACCCGAGAGCGGCCCCTCAGGAGTGGACATGGATCCTGCGTTCCTTTGCAGGCACGGGGGGCTCACGCTGTGGAAGGGACCCAGGGTGGGCTGTGCTGGGACCCCCCCCCCAGAGATGCCTCAGTGCCCAGCAGACCAGCCCCAGGGGAAGGGGGGAGAACCCCTAGGCTCCTTCCTCTGAGGGGGTGTTCAGCCGCCCTGACCCTCCTCCCTTTCTCGTGGACCTAACCTCTGACAGCCTCCCACGCCTCCCACAGTGGGCAGGTGTCTATGGAGGGTCTGCTGGCTGCCTGGGAAGGCACTGTGAACACTGCCCAGAAGTCGGAGCTTCTGCTTCGCCCCCAACAAGCAGGTCTCCTTGGTGTGAACTGGTGTCCACAAACTCTGTGGGGCAAAGACTCAGATTTATTCCCTCCCTCCTCCCTTCCTTCCCTCCTCCCTTCCTTCCCTCCTCCCTTCCTTCCCTCCTCCTCTCCTTCCCTCCTCCCCTCCTCTTCCTCCCTCTAATCAGTCACTAGTGTCCACCCTATTGGGTTGGGGGGAAATTCAATTTCAAGCATTCTGGGAGGGACCTTCCTCCCCTTCCCCCAGGCCTCAGAAGAGTCTGGGTTCCAGGCATCTGGTGGCCCCTGTACCCTTCTAGTCCAGACTCCTGAGATTCCTCCATCTTGGAGATTTCGTGCAGCAGCCAGGCCTGAGTTTGAGATTCTTTGCCGAGTGGAGGCCCCAGTGTGTGAGTTTGTTCTGGTGGATGCAGCAGCCACCCCGCTCTGAGATCTGGCCCCTCTCTCCCGTCTCGGTTCTGGGGAAGTGTCCTCTGCTCCCCACTCTGTCACCTCCCTAGCGGCCTCTGATCCTGCCAGGATGCCCCAGCCTCGGTGCAGGCAGGCCAGGGACACAGCACCTGACCGGGACACAGCTCCTGCCTGGGACACAGCACCTGTCGGGCACACAGAACTCCCTCCAGGGGGCGAGGCCAGGACCCGAGACCAGCTTGGAGGAGGAGGCAGGGCGTGCAAGGGGGGGAACATACAAATGAATATCAGAACACGTTTTCCTGCCACATCAGTGAAACAAGGGCACGTGTTTGCCTAAACCTGCTGTAAGGATTGGCCCAGAACTCCGCTGACCATAGCCATTAACTCACTAAGGTGTGATGACCAGAAACCACTTTAATGGGCCACCTCTTGGGAGAATTAAGTGAGGGAAACTCCTTCACCTAAAAGAAGTCTTTTATGACTTCTTTCACGTAACGAAATATTTTTAAGGTTCGTCCATGTTGTACCATGCGTCAGTCCTTCCTTTTTATGGGCTGGATAATATTCCATTGTATGAATATACCATGTTTTGCTCATTCATCAAAGGAAATTTGGGTTGTTTCCACCTTTTGGCTATTATGAATAATGTTGCTATAAACATTTGTGTACAAATTTCTGTATGGAAATATGTTTTTATTTCTCTTGAGAATATACCTAGGAGTGGAGTTGCTGGGTCATATTGTGACTTTATATTTAACTTCTGAGGCACTGCCAGGCAGTTTTCCAAGCTGGCAGCACCCTTTTACATTCCCACCAGCAATTCCCAGCAATATGAGGATTGCAATTTATTTGTATCCTTGTCAACACTTGTAATTGTCTCTCTTATGTTCTAGCTGTCCTAGTGGGTGTGAAGTGGTGTCTCATTGTGGTTTTGATTTTCATTTCCCTGATAACTAATGTTGAGCTTATCTTCATATACTTATTGGTCATTCGTGAATCTTTCTTGGGAGAATTAAGTGAGGGAAACTCCTTCACCTAAAAGAAAGGATTTTTAGTGACATTGGATGACTCGAAGTCACTCCAGGTGAGAGAGCACAACATGTGTAGAATAAATAGTGAAAGAAGGGACCACGCTCCTCCCTCTCATCACAACCCCCCCCCGCCCCGCCCCCATCCTAAGAAGCATAAAAGAGGGAAGTTTGGCCAGAGGGAGTTTTCCAGAGCAGCCTCAGCTGTCCACCATCCCGCAGGAGGCCTCAGGCCAGGCTCTGGTTCCTCTTCCCCCCGCCCCCGGGGCTCTTTGCTGCCCCTCATGAGTCCCATCGCGGGAGGGCCGGGGAGGCACAGATGGATTTCTGGAAGCTTCTCTGAGAGATCTTCTCAGGTCACACTGTAGGGGCCTTTCAGGGCTCAGAGTTTCCGTCCCCCAGTCCTTCCAGCTCCGTGTGTTACCTCAAAGGAGAGTGAGATGCTGACGGATGCCAGGTGCAGCCTGCTCAGACCCCGGGCTTGGCTTATTTCTCTCCTCGGCCTCTCTCTTCTCTGCCTGCTCCCTGCATCTCAGGGCGCCCTGGAGAGGAAAGAGGTGCACCCTGGGCCACTTGGCCTTTCCGTGGCCCACACAGCACAGTGCAGGTGGCGGGACTTGGCTCTGGCCCGTGCAGGTGGCGGGAAGGGTGGCTCCCGGTCAGCCTGCGGACAGATAGGTTCCTCTCGGCCTGGGCCAGGCACAGAGTTTCAAGCCTGAGAATGGCGAATGGCAAACCGCTGAACTTCTATCAGCGACCCCAGGTGTCCCCTCGTGAGCATGGTAAAAAAAAAAAAAAAAAACCAGGTGGAACAGTCCTCGACATTGGAACAGAAGCCATTCCATCCCATTTCTCCATCTAGAATGAAATCCTCAATAACCTTGGATTCTATAACGCAGAAAGTGTGGTTCTGTCCAGGCCCCTCCCCAGCTGACATCACTAATGACCAATGGAGGCAGGCTCATTGTCAGATGGCCTCAGGGGGGTGTCTGCGCCTCGGTCTCCTCAGGAACTCTGGCAGCTGCGCAGGCTGTACACGGGGCCACCGTCCCCCTCCAGGACTCTCCTGCCTGGCTTCCCCCCGTCAACCCCGTCCTCTTATGCCCTCCCCCGCTGCAGGGTCCCCGGAAGGAATTGTATGATATTTGGTCTTTTATGACTTCTTTCACGTAACGAAATGTTTTTAAGTTTCATCCATGTTGTACCATGTATCAGTCCTTCCTTTCTATGGGCTGGATAATATTCCATTGTATGAATATACCGTGTTCTGTTTATTCATTCATCAGTTAAAGGAAATTTGGGTTGTTTCCGCCTTTTGGCTATTATCAATAATGCTGCTACAAACATTTGTGTACAAATTTCTGTATGGAAATACGTTTTTATTTCTCTTGAGAATATACCTAGGAGTGGAGTTGCTGGGTCATATTGTGACTTTACATTTAACTTTTGAGGCACTGCCAGGCAGTTTTCCAAACTGGCAGCACCGTTTTACATTCCCACCAGCAATTCCCAGCAATATGAGGATTGCAATTTCTTTGTATCCTTGTCAACACTTGTAATTGTCTCTCTTATGTTCTAGCTGTCCCAGTGGGTGTGAAGTGGTGTCTCATTGTGGTTTTGATTTTCATTTCCCTGATAACTAATGTTGAGCTTATGTTCATATACTTATTGATCATTCGTGAATCTTTCTTGGAGAAATGACTTTCAGATCCTTTTCCTGTGTTTAAATTGGGTTGTCTTTTTACTATTGAGTTGAACAGTTCTTTATGTATTGTGAATACAAGTCCCTATCAGATATATGATTCATTCTTTGGGTTGTCTTTCCATCTTCTTGATGGTGTGCTTTGAAGCACAGAAGTTTTCATTTTGATGAGGTCCAGTTGCTTTTGTTTTTTCTTTTGTTACCTATGCTTTCGGTATCCCATTTAAGAAGCCTTCTAACACATTGAGAACACGTCAAATAAACACAAGTATAAGCAGTTATTTTTTATTGTTCTGTTTTGCTTTTTAGAGACAGGTTCTCTCTTTATTGCCCAGGCTGGAGTACATTGGTGTGATCATAGCTCACTGCAGCCTCAAACTCCTGAGCTTAAGTGATCCTTCCACCTCAGCCTCCTCAGTAGCCACCATGCCCCACTGACTTTTAAAGTTTTTTTTTTTTTTGTAAAGACAGGGTCTCGCTGTGTTGTCCAGTCTGGTCTCAAACTCCCGAGCTCAAGCAGTCCTCCCATTTTGGCCTCCCAAAGTGCTGAGAGTTACAGGTGTGAGCCACCATGCCAGGCCCAAGTATTGGCAGTTTTATATTGATATCGTGGTGAGTGAAAGGCCCTTAAAAGGAGGGAAGAAGAGATGAGACAAAGCCACGGTCAGTTTGTAGGCTTCTAAGACTATGAAAATTTCTTCCTTTCTCTCCTAAGTTTGCTTTGCTAGCCTTTATAGCAGTGTCACCTCTGTGAGATGGCTTTTAGGGTCATTCTTTTTCTTCATGCATTAAACTGTTCATTCTCTCTTTAAACAAATATTTACTGAGCATGCACTGTCTATCAGGAACTGTGCAGAGATGAATACAACATAGACCTGAATCCGGGGAGAGTCCTGCCGTCACCCCTTGTTGGGCTAGGATTTGATATCCATTACAGGACTCTCTGAAAACCCCCAGAATGCCACTGTGACCAGGGACCTATCTCCAGGCTCTGTGGGAAGGAGAGGTAGCTCTTCCTCACAAAAGCGTGGAGACCCCTGGACAAAGAGTTGCACTCATTCCAGGGCCAGCCTGGGGTCGGGGCTCCCCTGGGTAGCAGGCGTTTGCTGTGTGCTTGCTGGGTGAATGGGTGGCCCAGTGCACCTGGATCCACTTGGGATTCCTCCTTTGTTCCAAGGTGAGATCACACCCCAGGCTCATGTTGACCTGAATAATCACCCTGGGAGTTTTTCTGGACTGGATGGGAAGGGAGAGGAAGCGACATGATGGGGAGCCCATGGCATCTGCTGCGAAGCTGGAACCCAGGGAAGCGCCCACATCCACTATTACAATATCAGGAACAACAGCACCAAGACGGAGGCCACGTGGTCCTCCTGGGGCTGCCCTTGGAGGCACGTAGGCTCTGGCATTGGAAGTCATACCACGACAGGCTACAGCAAGGCAGTTTTTTTTTTTTTTTTTTTTTTTTTTTTTACCTAAGGCCACCTCAAGAAATTCCTACTGGAATATGTGTTTGGAAAAGCTGTGCCTCTACCCAGGACCTTTTCCTGGTAAAAAGCATATTTCTCTTTATGTAAAATGAGCGTCCTGGAACCCACTGTGTTCCTTTCTCTAGGTCTACCTACCTATTTTGGCTGCATGTTAGAATCACCTGAGGGACATTTAATAAACCCCAGTTCCGGCTGGGTGCAGTGGCTCACACCTGTAATCCCAGCACTTTGGGAGGCCAAGGTGGGCGGATCCCTTGAGGTCAGGAGTTCGAGACCAGCCTGGCCAACATGGTGAAACCCTGTCTCTACTAAAAATACAAACATTAGCTGGGTGTGGTGGCAGGCACCTGTAATCCTGGCTACTCCAGAGGCTGAAGTAGGAGAATCACTTGAACCTGGGAGGCAGAGGTTGCAGTGAGCTGAGATTGCGCCACTGCACTCCAGCCTAGGCAACAGAGTGAGACCCTGTCTCAAAAATAAATGAATGAATAAATAAATGAAAATAAATAAAAATCCCAGTTCCCACTGGACCCCAGATGGATTAAATGAGAAACTCTGAGACCAGGCATTGGGGTTTTTGTGGTTGTTGTTTTGAACTCCAGAGATGATTTCTGTGTCCATCCAAGGTTGAGAGCCAGTGGTCTGCAGGAAGTCTGGACCCAAATATATGACTTATCTGTAGTGTTCCATCCTACACAGCTGTGTTCTCTGGTTCCAGCCTTCCATGTTAAATTTTCTCCAAACCTGATTTTCACTGGCTTGTAGAAAGGTGGCCTTTTTTTTCTCAATACAGCCTTTCCTGACCACAGTCTCTGCCGTGATGTATGTGTGCAATACAGAAACACATTCTGTTGGGTGAATAAACAAGTGAATAGAGCAATTAGGAAGCAGGAGAGAAAATGGAATTGCAATGGTGTTTTATTTAACTCAAAAGTGGTATTTTGTGAAAAACAAGTTTGATCAGTGGAAGGAAAAAAATAAATGGAGAATGTTGGAAGAGGGCTCCGTGTATTTGAGGATGTATCACGTCTAGTATTTGTTTAATGTCCCTTTAGAACATTTATTTTCACTTACAGTCATTACTTTTTCTTGATAGCATACAAATCCCTAGCTCTTTTCTTTTTCAATGATTAGGGTACATTTTCACCTCATAAAGGAAAGAGAGAGGAAGGGAAGGTGAGAGGGAATTTCCTCCTTATGAAGAGCTGGAAATGGAAAGAGGAAATGGGTGAAATTAATGGAACTGAGCCAGGCGCGGTGGCTCACATCTGTAATCCCAGCACTTTGGGAGGCCAAGGCAAGTGGATCACCTAAGATCAGGAGTTCGAGACCAGCCTGTCCAACAAGGTGAAACCCTGTCTCTACTAAAAATACAAAAAAATTAGCCAGGCGTGGTGGTCGGTGCCTGTAATCCCAGCTACTCGGGAGGCTGAGGTGGGAGAATCACTTGAACCTAGGAGGTGGAAGTTGCAGTGAGCCGAGGTCACGCCACTGCACTCCAGCCTAGGCGACAGAGCAAGACTCTGTCAAAAAAAAACAACAACAAAAAAAAAAGTGGAACTGGAAGTCAGGAGAGATGGAGAAAGAGAGAATGGATGGGTGGGGGTGTTTAGGGCAGGGCGGTGGTGGGTGCACAGCTTTGCATACCAACTGGGGAAAAGGTACTCTACCTGTTAGGGTGACAGCTGCTCCAGTTCTCTGGGATGGAGGGGCTTCTTCAAATGTGGGACTTCCTGTTTTAAACCCACACAGTCCTGGGTAAACCGAGACTAATTGGTCACCCTGGATGCTGGCCAAGGACCTACTGGCGGCTTGCTTGCTGATTTTTGTTTGGAGGCAATTGGGGCCAGGAAAGGGAGTGAAGAAGCCTTAGGCTGGGATGGGAAGCTTGACCTAGCTCTGAGCCACACAGCTTTATGCTCTGGTGTCTGTAATGCTGGGCATCCCTTCGCTCGATGCATTTGTGCTCAGGAAAGGACTTGCTGAACAAATGTCCAGCTCAGGGGATGGGACGTGAAAGGAGATGTGGGCCTGAGGAGCGTCCCAGAGACAAACAGGGCAGGAAGTTCTCTGTTTTAACATGAAAGGGGAAAAAACAGGCTTCAAATGTATTCTTCCCACTGTGCTGGGAGTTCCCTGGAGGGCGGAGACTTGTGCTTCATCTGGTACCCCTGTCACCTAGGGTGCCAGGTGCATGGGGAGCGGCCAGTGCATGTTAAATCTGGGCCAGAGGAAGCATGCGTTGGGTGTCTGGCTCTATGTCAGGGTTGGGAGCATTTATTATACAAAAAGACTCCCATCCTCACATCATTTTAAGGTATCATTGAGGGTACGAATCATATACTCAAAGTCTTCATAATCAGAGAATAATATAAAGTGAATTTAATGAAGAAAAACAAAGAATCGTGTCCTATTTGGGTTTAGGACTACATTCTCAAAGGCCCTTTAATTCGAATTTGATTCAAATAGCAATGCCAGGGCAAAGAAGCCAACAAATGACCTTCTGTTTTTTTTGGAGACAGAGTCTGGCTCTGTCACTCAGGCTGGAGTACAATGGCACGATCTCAGCTCACTGCAACCTCTACCTCCTGGGTTCAAGCCATTCTCCTGCCTCAGCCTCCTGAGTAGCTGAGATTACACGCGCCTGCCACCACACCCAGCTAATTTTTTTGTATTTTTAGTAGAGACGGGGTTTCACCATGTTGGCCAGGCTGGTCTCGAACTCCTGACCTCGTGATCCGCCCGCCTCAGTCTCCCGAAGTGCTAGGGCTGCAGGCATGAGCCACCGTGCCCCGCCTAGATGACCTTCTTAAGCGCTATAAGTTACACTGAGTTTATTTAGGATTAGGGAATAGACTCAGAAGAAAGAGAGGGAAGGGGGCAGGAGAAAGCGCACGAGTGTCGGCTGAGTTCCGCTGGGGTAGTAAGTGGCCCCACGTCCTCAGCAGCAAGCCAGGACAGAAGTGCATTTCTCGCTACTGCTGTACATGCATCACCGACAGCTGGGGCTCTGCTTTGTGTCCTGTTAATTTTGGGAACCGCAGGCTGAAGGAGCAGTTCCTGTCTGGGTGCTTGCTGTGAGAGGAGCAGGAGAGAGGTGTCAGACAGCTCCAAAAGCTTCCACTGGGAAGTGGCACCCATCACTTCTGGGAAATGCAAGGCACACAGCCAAGTGTGGTGGGGGTAGTGGGGATAATAACCCTCCTAGAGGGAGGGGCTCCACACAGAGGCTACTAGGATCTCATTACAATCTCATCACGATTTAAAGTATCAGTCGATACCATTCACCGCGGCTTAGGAGTTCCGGCAACTATCTGCACTACCTTCCACAAACCTTGATGTTAACACAAGCAGCATAATCCAATCACTTCTGTATCTTCTTAGAATGTGGAAGTCAGGAACCAGGCAGGATGACAGGAAGTGGGGAAAAGCCGAGGGGAGCAAAACACAAGCTGAACTGGGATCTTTGACCTGAACCAATTACGAAGCTTCCAGCTAAGAAGCTTTCCAAGTCATAGAATATTATGAATATTCTGAACCAAGGGCGATTTACGGCATGCCCTTGAGTCCCTGAAGTCCAAGGAATTGCCTCTCAGTTTACTTTAAATCAAAAGCTGATTCCTTCTTAAAGGGAAAGCTCAGATTTCCGACTTCACAGTTCCCTTCTCAGAGGTTCCTTGGGTTCTGCCTCCATAAGTTATACCAAGAATAACTGGGGGCCTCCCACACACCATTTTCTCTCTATGCCTGTTTCCCCGTCTTTACAGTGAGGTGGGTGGGTGCTATCAGTGGTTCTTACTTAGCAGAATATTTCAATCACCCAGTTCTCAGCCCCAGCAATTTTGATTCAGTAGTTCTTAATTGGGATCTAGTTTTTGAAAACTCCCCAGAGGTTCTAATTTTCTCTCCAGGTAGACGAATGATTTAGCCAGGGGTGGACTTTACCTCCTTTCCAGCCCCCATCCACCAGGAATGACTCTGGGCCCCACATCCCTGGGCCCAGCCCTGGTAAAGGATCATAGGATCAGGCTGTGGAAGTTTCCAGAAACAGATGGAGGGTGTCATCTCTTCCCACGTCTCTCCCTAGCCTCTGATGTGGAGTTTGACATTTTAATCAGAGATGAGGCCCCCAGATGGCCCAGTAGGCCAGGACTGGTTAGGCAGAGGGTGAGTGAGGTTCCATCTCCTTGGGATCTACTCTCTTGTCCCTGGACTGACTTAGGAGAGGGGTCTGCACCCACCACGGTGCCTGGCCCATGTGACCACTCACAAATGGGGCCAAATTCAACAGCCCCTATTTCCAAATAAGGTCACATTCTGAGGTTCTGGGAGTGAAGACTCCAATGTCTTTTTTGCGGGTGCAAGCACTTTAACCCATAACAGCAGAGTATAATGCATTCTGAGATATTTCTTTTAAAATCATTAAAACATTTAAGAAGTTTCAGCTTAAGTTTTAGTGTTTATTCAATTTTTGGAAAAAAAAATGTTGATACAAAATCCCTGTAGCCAACAAAACTGGATACACATTTTTCCTGTTCTTCCTGAGCTTCATAGAGAGTGTCCCCAGGCGGCTGTGCTGAGAGGGGCCACGCCTGGCAGAGTCCGGCTGTGGCCTGGCCCCTGCTGCTGTGACAAGCCAGGGGTCAGGGAGCAGGTTCTGCAGTTGAGCTTGCGTTTTCCGCTGTGGGGTGGGGTGGGGTGGGGTCTGAAAACCAGGTCGCTGGGAGGAATTCTAGGAGCCCTAGATTTTCAAGTGATAGAGCCGGGCTTGGCGGCCACTCAGCTTCCCCAGGCTGATTAGTCGCTGGAGGTTGTTTTCTTGTTTGTTTCATTTTTGAATCAGGGCTGAACATTCTGTGTTGTGGATTCATTGGGCAACCTTTTGTGGGGAGGGAGGGAGTGTGACGTGGAGGTGTGGAGGCAGGTCCCTGTCACCTGACCCAGGGTGCAGGTGGCGTCCACATGGGTCTGCACCCCTGACCCTGGCTCCACACAGCCAAGGCCATTGCACTAAGCGTGTCTGTCAGAGCTTGGGAAGACGCTGTCCACCTGCCACCACTGGAAGCAGCACCATCTCACAGGCCAGCTGCCCCAGGTGCCCAAGCCTGGGCAGCGGGGCCGGCTCACCGTTCCTCTCAGCCTTCCCCTCGCCTCCTGGCCCTTGGCTTTTCACAGTCTCAGCTGTGCAGCCCAGCCCCAAGGGAGCCCCTGGACCTGGGCCGCCGCGTGCTCTGAGACATGTCCCAAGACTGGCTCAGAGGGTCTTCAGGGCCGCATCTGCCTTTTGCTCCTTTTTACTCCCACAGCGCCTTCACCCAGGCAGCGCTGGGTACATCGTGGTCAGTTGATTAAAGGAGGCCTTGGGGACAGTAAAGTCACCCCCCGCCCTTGACCCTGGCCTGCTGACAGTAAAGTCACCCCCCGCCCTTGACCCTGGCCTGCTGCCCTCCTGAACCCACCTCGTTCCTGGGCTCGAGGCCTCCTAGGGCGGTGGCAGTTGTGCTCTGGCCCCAGCCCTGGCCAGAACATCATCCCACCCAGAGGAGGCTGCAGGTGTCTGTTTCTGGAACATTCTATTATTTACTTTCTGCCATTTCCTACCTTGCCTTAAGGTTCAGAGTCTCTGTATCTGTCCCCAGTGGCAGTTGTCATGGGGTGAGGTCTTTAAATGGGCTTCTCTGACACCTGAGTCACGCGGCACTGGAACGCACTGGGGTGCCTCCCAGATCCTTGGCTCCCAGCAGCTCTCAGGCCCTGTTCGCCTCCGTAAAACTCAGCCTACAGATGTGCATATGTGCGCGTGTGTGTATGTGTGTGCATGTACATACATACATACGGATTTAATCCTCACAGTAACCCTGTGGGGTGGGCATAATTATTATTAACTCCACTTTACAAATGAGGAAACTGAGGCATAGAGAGGCTAAATGACTTAGCCAACGTCCCAGCACTGGCAAAGCAAAGCTGGAATTTGAACCTGTAGAAAAAGAGCATCCGTTTCAAAGGGTGAGTAGAGGCATTTTTCTCCTTCATGGTGTGCTCAGGACGAGGAATCCAATGTGTCTTAGAGAGGACTTGCTTAGGGGCATTGTTATAGAGGGCAATTTGTAGAAAAAAAATGGTTTTGTGCAGTGTGGTTTATGTTGATTTCAATTAAATTGGGGAGCCTTGTGCATGCTAAACGACAGCTTGGCCTTCTACCACCTGGGCAGCCCGGGGCCTTCTGCTCAGCAGTGCCATTGAGGCTGTTTTAGGTCACAGACATTCAGCCCCGGAGCACCTGCCTGAGACTAGCCAGGCTTGTGCTACAGCCTGTTGGCCTTCTGTGTGTGCCAAGCCTGGGCCCAATCCTGGTTCCCAGCTTAAAAGAAAGATCGAGTTGCCATGAGCCTTCCACAGCCTTCTAGAGCCTTCCAGAGCCTTGACAGTGTGTCTAGGGAACAAAGGAGGAGGATGCTCTGGGGCCTTACAAAATGCAAGGACCCTTCAGTGCCTCTGATTTTTACCTGATCTTGCTTATCTTAGCTTCAGTCTTACTCCTTTCATGAAGTTATTTTTTAAGACTTTCTTCCAAAGTAGCCCCTTCCTTCTGGAAACTTCTATGATGGTGGCTGCTGTCTGTGCCACACACGATGTTGTGTGGACTCTCAGCCTGCTTGTTCCCTGTCTCCACAGCTTTCCTTCTGGCCGGGACTGAGGTCCGTGGGGTTGGAGGCTCTCTCTTCTACTTTTCTTGGGTCCCAGCAATGCAGCATGAGGCAGGTACCTGGCTGGGGGGGGTCCTAAGAATATCCATTGACTGGGAGACGGGGTGCCGAGAGAGAGAGCGGGAGTGGTGATGGGCCACTGAGAGCTGCTAGGGCAGGGTGGGCCTCAGGGTTAGGAGAGAAGCCCGGCTTATTGTTGTTTAAAAAATGGAAGAGGAAAGAAAATGGGGCTTCCCAAGTGCCAAGTTCCTTCTGTTGAAGGTGGCGCTCATCTCCAGACAGTGGCTCCTGCTTATCAGGTCTGAGGAGCTCTTGCCTTGACTGGACATTGACCCTGTGGGAGACGTGAAGTTGGAGACCACGGAGCGGTGTTCAGAGTAGAGTGTGCCCTGCAGTAGCCAGAGGGGCCAGGCCACGGAGCGGTGTTCCGAGTAGAGTGTGCCCTGCAGAAGCCACAGGGGCCAGGCCACGGAGCGGTGTTCCGAGTAGAGTGTGCCCTGCAGAAGCCACAGGGGCCAGGCCACGGAGCGGTGTTCCGAGTAGAGTGTGCCCTGCAGAAGCCACAGGGGCCAGGCCACGGAGCGGTGTTCCGAGTAGAGTGTGCCCTGCAGAAGCCACAGGGGCCGGGCCCCAAGCATCAAAATGACGGAAGTCAAAGGAGCCCACGGCAGTGGGTGTGGAGGAGTAATCGTGATGGGGGTAGGAGCGAGGTCAGAGAAGTTCTTGGAAGGAGTGAAGCTCTGACAGATGCTTAAGCCTGTCCCTCTTGAATTTATGCTAAGCCCATCAGCTCCTTTTGGCATGCACCATTTTTTAGAAAAAGGTTCCAGCTGCCGGCGTGAATAGCGAGTCCTTCCTCCTCTCACTTCTGCTCCCTGCACACATCGAGCTTGTTCAGACTGGAGTTAGACAAGTCACTGTGGGGTCACGGGACAAAGTCTCAGCCGGTTTTCCAGTGGATAGGCATATCTCTTCCTTATCAGGTGCTGGCATAAAATCAGGAACACCTGGTCTTAGCCTTGGCCCTCTAAGGACACAGCCATGTGACCTTGGGCACGTCACTTAAACTGATTGATCACATATGACTTAGCGTTTATAGACCTGCTGGCTTATTTGGTAGAGGTGGGTCCCTGATTGGGCAGGTGACATGCTCCAAACACAAGTCAGCCACCGCAGGAGCTGCATGCACACTCAGTACACACGGCACTTCTTTGGACAGAGGGCTCTGGGGCCCCATCCCACATTTGAGGCTCAGGGGACCGGTTTTCACCCGTAAGGCTCCAGGCAGTAGCCCAAGTATCTCAAGACCTTCAGGTGGTCAGAACATGGCCTTGAAAGATAGAGAAACTGTTATCCTTTGCGGGGGTTGGTTTGTTTTTGTTTAGACTCCATTAAAATCAGGACACAAGGTCTTAATGACTCCAAATGTCTTTGCAATCCTGCAGTTTTAGAACTATTAGTTCTACCTGGATGGAGGTACCCAGGGAGGGGCAGGGGGGCGAACTATTCTCAGCTAATCTAATCTCAGCACAGCCACTCAGCAAACATCTGGTTACTTTGGTAAATATTGGCAGTCTCTAGCGACTGGAGGTGGGTGAGGCTGCGTGTCCCCCTGACAGCCTTGGGACTGGTGGCCTATGACAACAAAAGGAAATCCTAGAGCAGGGTTTGCCAAATCCCTATAGGCGATTTTAGGCGGCAGGTCCAACCTGTTCTTGTAGCTCAGAGGAAGTCTCAGCGCTGCCCTCTGGCAGATGCACTCCGAGCAGGACCCAGAGGTGTTAGGACCGGCAGGACTGGTCTAGCTAACAGCAGATGCAGCAGCTGGGTCCTCGGAGGTGGAGGATGAAGACCAATAGCGTCCAGGTCACCGGGGCTGGGTGGGCTGCGGGCCGGCCAGATTCTCTGTCTCTTTATCCAAGGGGGCTGCAGCCTGTGCCATCCTCCTGACTCACTCTGCACACCACTCATTTCGCCAGGGAGCTGATTGACAAGCCCTCTGCTGTGAATTTCAACAAGGATGTTCACGGCGCAGAGCAGCCCTCTTTGGCACATTGGTTCCCAATTGGGATATTTCAGAAGCAACCACAGGACCTGGCATATTGCACAGAGTTCATGAGTACAGGGCACTGGCCTCAAGCTGTCATAGGAATGAGGTTCCAAAGTAAAATGCCACACCGTCTACATCCCACCAGGCCCAGTCAATCTCAAATGCTGGCCCCAGCCAGTGGCATGCCGTGCCCCGAATCCCCAGCTGCCAGCTCCCAAGTGAAATAAAAGTGTGGTCAATGAGGCTGGGCCTTGAGCCCAGGGGGTTCCCTCTTCTTTCAGCTGCCCTGGCCTCTGGCTTTCCCCTGCACAGATCTTGCAGGACAGTGAGGGCAGGGACAGCATTGGCACATAAAAGGGGGGTAGAATATGGGCTTTATTGGTCAGCGTCTCTGCCCAGGGCAGTTGCCATCAGCCCTTTTGCAGATACTCCCTCTGCAAGCTGCCCTGCCGGCCTGGTGCCGAGATTGGCTCTGGACACAGGGTTCTGGGGTGCAGTGGTGTAGTCCTGCATAGCAATGCCTCATCGCAGGGACGTGAGCTTGGCATGCAGCATTTGACTTTTAGGTGAAGGGCTGAGGGCGGCATGGGATTTGGCAAAGATTTGTGCTAGATTTCTGGGATGCTGAGAAATCTAACCCAGGTCTGTTATTCAGGGGTTGGGGGGTGGGGGCTGGAGACACGCCTTTTACACATGTGTGCTCATGCATGTCTAGTTTTCTAGGCCACTTACACAGCTCAGGCAGTACCATGCATCATTTGAGATTTTCCTGTCACATTTGCCATTTGTCATTCTTTGAAGTCACTGTTTTGACTTGTTATGTAATATCATAAGGCCCCAATGTCTGGCTCTATCAGAACATACTTGACAATATCCCATTTCTGCACACTCAGGTGGTACCTGATCCTTTCCGTATTGCTGCAGACTTTGTTTATTTCAGATGTTATAGGCTGGACCTGTAAAGGGGGACTCTCAACTTGTGGTGTGTGAGTATCTTCCTCTTATTCTTAATTATGCAAGTAATAAACAAGCATGAGCCACAGAAAAACTAGATGATAAAAATAAACAAAAATGAATAAAGGGACAGTGGCCCTGTTAGGATGTGCTGTACGGAGCCAGGCTGGGGAGGGGAACATCACTTTGATCGAATCCTGGATTTGCAGCTTGTGTGTTCTGTAACCTTTGTGACTCCACTTCTCTGGGCCTCAATTTCCTTATCGATAAAATGGACAGTATTTTGTGCAGGTTGAGAGAGGATATGTAAAATACTCAGCACTTAAAATAGACTCAAAACATGAGTTCCAGGAGAGGGCCCTGGTGATAACCTACAGGTGCCAGGGAGGGGCTTTAGGGGCAGGGCTAGGCTTTCTAGGGATGCCAAGCTCTAGGGTCAGGAGGGTGCCTGCATGCGGGGCCCAAGGGTCATGAGGCCTGACAGCCTTGGGAAGCCTGGGGGTGTGGAAGGATGACCGTGGGCCAGGCTCCTGTGGGCCTGGCAGCCCATGCTGAAGAAGTGGGGTTTGTTCTGTAGATGGCATGGAGCTAGTGAAGGTTTTCTGGTTCTGTTTTGTTATTGCTTTGTCTGGTGAGGGTGCTAAGAGTAATGCCTGAAAAACAGAGTTTAGGAGGATGAATTAGAGCGGGTGAGTCCGAGGGGATGTGCTTCAGGAAGGCATTGCCTTTTCACTTCTGATTCTGACACCAGCCCCATGCACCAAAATGGTCTTCAGGCTTTGCTAAGTATCTGTGATCTACTAGGCTCTGTTGTTCAAGACAGCTGACTCCGCCCTCCAGGGAGAGTAGGTGGAAAGCTCAGAGCCACCTGCATGCGGAGTGCAGTGGAGGTTCTGGAAGCGAGGAGAAATGCAGGTGAAGACAGTGACCGTGCTTGCGGTGGGCAGCTTGCAAGCAGGAGTGGAGTTGTTTATGTTCCTTAATCTCTAATGAGTGATCCTGGGTCCCTGAGACGTGGAATTGCTGCCGTGAGAACTACAGCATCATCACACCCCATAAGTCACTCTCAAACGCTGGTCTCCAAGCGTAGCAAACCTCTGAATCCTTTAGACGACGGAGCCCATTTCTCTGACATTTCCAGCTTTTCCAAGGAAAACCAATTAGGCTTTTTTCCTCAGGCTCGTATGTATGCTTTGGAATAAAGCACACAGAAAATAAAACAGGCCCAGCTCACCCAGCAAGGCTAGTTCCAGAACCAGCAGGAGAAAATATTGAGATTGGCCGGATCTCTGGTCGACCACTTGCATCGGTGCCCGGGGGGCTGGCTGCAGGCTGCAGGAGGTTTGGCCCTTCGATCTTCGCCAAATGGCGCCAGCTTTCTGCTAAACCTCAGGTTTATGCTAGCACTGCCCTCTGGTTCCAGAATAATCCCGCACATCCCAGGATGATGCTTATTTCTGTCCTGATGCGTGTTCATCCATGATCCCAACAGCAGCCCTGGGAGGTGTGCAGAGCAAGTGTTTCCACTCAGCTTGGTTTTTCAAAGGAAGAACTGAGGTTCAGAGAAATGACTGATCCAGGACTTGGACCTGGGTTGTTGACACAGAATATTAATGCTCTGGTCTGAAAGGGACCTTGAGGAACATCCCATAACACATGGCTCATTCTACGGACAAAAAAAAAACAAAAAACAGTTTCCGCTTAAAATGGCCTGCTCAGGTAGGCAAGTGCAGAGCTCAGGCTTGTGAGTTCTTAGAGCTATCTGGCCACAGCACGCCAGGCCTGTGATTTGTCAGGTCTCTGAGTGGACAGCTGGATTGCCTGGTACCCTCCTGGGCTGAAAGTGACTTTAAGAAAGCCACGGACTTCCAACCCCTACAGAGGCCCCCCAAAGTCCCAGCTGACTCAGCCGCCTTTTTGTCCGTGGGCCTTAGTAGATGGCCATGCAACGCCCTTCTGTCCCCTCTAGGAAGCCTTCCTGAATACGTCATCCACATTAATCTTTTTCCACCTTGTGTTGCCATCAACCTTACCTGAATAACACATTTGCCCACTAAATCATAGCCTTTGAGTCACAGGCTCGTGGAAGAAGCCTCCTTTTCTTGAATACCTGCAGCAACAGATCACTCAATATCTTTGGAAGCAATTCCTCCACTGCTGAGAAGTTCAAGTCCTGAGCAAGTTTTATTTAATGAGGGACACGGCGGGGTTCTGAAATGGGGACCCTCATTTTCTCCTAACAATTCAAGTTCATTTTCTGCCCCACAGCCTGTTTTCAGGGCACCTGGGATTTGTTGTAATCAGGTACAGGAAGACATGCAGACTCAGGAATGAGTGTCACGAAGGAAGGAACTGATGATACTCACAGATCCCTGGAAGCAGGAGGCTAGGCACACCACTGCCACGTGGGGAAGCACGGGGTTGGGCAGGAGGCAGAGGGAGCAAGGGGGAGATGCAGGCAAGAGACTTTATTGTGGTTTCTGTGAATAATTTTAGGGGACTGTGGGTACAGGGGCTGTCCCTAGCTGTCTGGTACCTGCCCTGGGGTGATTTGGGTAGTGGGTGATGGCCTGGGGTGTGAGAGCCCCCAGGAGGAGGTGAGGAGGGGAAGGGTCTGTGTGGGTTGGCTTGCATAGGAAAAGCAAGCTCACAGATGAGTTGCTTACTATCTCCAGGAATTGCCCAGCCCTGGGAGGGCAGTCCCTCCAGGATCAGCAAGGCCCCAGGTGTCAAAGCATCAGAATACAGAAAATCAGAGACATGGCTGATATAGGCAGAGACCATGTTGTCTCCTGGATGATGTTTGCAGGCTGTCTGGTTGGAGTTGGGGGAATGGAGTGTAAATGGGGATTTCACTGCCAGAGCCTTTTGGAAAGCCATACCCATCCTTCTGGCCAGAGGGGAAAAAAACCCCCACAATCTTTGTGCTCCAAGGACAGGAATCCCCAGGGAGTTCAGATTTCTGAAGCCTTTGCCTGAAGTTAGATGGGAACAGTGCAGGGGTTGTGCTGGCCAGAGGACCTGGAGCCCAGAGCTGTCCACTGCTGCATCATCGGCCTCTGCTCCTGCCTCCCTCCATCCTGCTGCCTGTCTTTTTAAAAGCTCCGGTCCAGCCCTCCCTCCTGCTGGCTTGCTGTGTGGTAAGGAGTTTCCTCCCCAGCAGCGCCTGACACAGGTGGGAATGACAGTTTGCTGCAGTCCCGTCAATGGGGGAATCTGCCCGAGCTCTGCCTGCATTTTGAGCAGCAAAGCAGCTCCAGCCACCAAGACCGTTGCCTGCGCTGTCTTAGGCCAGCCCATGCTGTCTGCCAGCCGCTTGTTGCGCTGCCTTGGGGACTGGGAACACACCCAGCCCCGGTCCCCATCTGTTGCAGACATGCAGTGGCAGCAGCTCGGAGCACAGCCGAACCCTAGAAATTGCCTGTGCTGAAGGGGCTGGGAAACCCCTTCTCTGATGGACCTTTCGAGTGAGGCAGCAGGATTTGTCAGAGCTGGGAGTGCCGCCCGTCCCCGTCACTCGCATCCTGCCATCCAGCAGCTTACAAGCCTGCACTGCTTATTAGCATCTGGAAGAGAAGACCTCCAGGACCCCTTGGGGCTGAGTAAGCAGACCTGCGGGAGCTGGCTTTCTAAATGCATAGTGATTGTGCGTCCCTGGGTGTGCGGTTTTCCCCCTCACGATGCTTTGTCTCCTTGGTGTGTAAGACTGATGCTGAATTGTGGCTTTGTTCTCCAAGAGCCTCTTATTAAATCAGATACCCCAAGGCTGAGCAAAATGTTCCTTCTCTCCACGGAAGCTGTATGTTTTCTCCTTACATAACTTTTTCTTGGTGATTTAAAGAGCATCACTAGTGAAGGTGGTATGTGTGTGGGCGTGTTCAGCTCCATTCCTCTCTGAGTCTGTCTCTCCTCCCCTGCCAGGCTGAGCAGAGCTGCCTCACACACTGGGTCCTGGGTACAGGGTCTCCTCCCTGCCTTCCCACCCTGGCTTGAACTTCCCTTACTGGAGCTGAAATCTTAGCGAAGTTGTCATTCTTTGCCTGGCCTTGCCCTTCCTGAGTCATCACTTATTACCTTTGGCCCAAACAGAAAAGACTGGGGATGATGTGGGGGCTTTGGGGATGGCCCACAGTTTTCTGGGGACTCTCTTGACCCCATATACATTGAAGGGTATCTTGGCCTCCTGCGGAGCGTGGAGCCCAACGCTTACTTGCTTGCTGAAGTTGTGGGGAATCCAAAGAAGCAGCAGATGGGAGGGGAGTGGGGGAGAGAGGAAGGGAAGGAAGAGAAGATCGTAGATGGCCTCCTCAGTGGCTGAACCGTGGGCTGTCACCGCTGTCTGGTGGAGAGGAGGAGGGGGAGGCTGAGAACCAGAAGCCCTGACTGTTGAGTGAATTTGCAGCAACAAGTAGAGCTGCAGGCTGGAAAGTACTAGATTCGGAGCTCACCCAGCATCCCTCTTGTCGCCCTTCTGTGACATTGATGCATGGCACTTTGAGTAAGCCATGTCCTTTTTTTTTTTTTTCCTTACAATCGCCTTCCGTAAGCCAGAGGCTGTCTGTCTGCTTCAAGTCTGTGATTCGGGGTCCTTGAGTGCTGGTGATTAGGAGTGACCTGGGGGTCGCTTGACCCCCCTCCTGGGGGGAGGCTTGATTCTGTGCATCTGAATTTTCAACCCAGGTGGAGAGCAAAGGTGATAGTAAACAATTGAAGAAGGCTGGGCTAGCAGGGAATCCAGCGTTGATGGCGTTACGGATTGTAGGTGTTGGAAGATGGGGAGAGGCCTAGGGATACAACCAGGATGCAGGCAGGAGGCCCCAAAACATAAATCGAGAATTCGGGGACTGCTAGGTGTGAATAGTTGAGAGTAAGTGAGAGGGGGAAGCTCCCTGGGACGCAGTCAGAGTGAGCCGGCACCCTGGGGCTCCACACACCCTGGGCAGGCTCCGACTCACCCGAGGGGCCTCACTGTGGGCCTCTTAGGTCTGGGGGTTTCTCACCTTCCAGCTGCTTCCCCAACTTGCATGGAAACTTCCAAGGACTAGATAAATCTCAGGTGTGTGTGTGTGGTTTTTTTTTTTTCAGCCCAGCAGTAGTAGGCCTTGAGAGACACACGCTTATAATGAGGAAACTGAGGGTTCAGTGGTTAAATTCAGTGAACATAATTGAAAATCTAAAATATTTAATCTTCTTTGCCTAAAGTCACAAAGGGATTCAGCTGGAAAGAGAAGCCAGGTGTCCTGCGGTCCAGCCTGTTCTTTTGAAGCTGGGAGTGGGGTGGGTGGTGGAGGGGAACGGAGGCTGGTGGACTGAGGTTGGGTGGACCCAGTCCCTAAGCCTGGTCTTCGTGTTTGTTACCCAGCTCTGGCTTCTCTTCAGGTCCTGTCCCAGGGTGAAATTAAACATCAGCACTTTAGCAAAACAAACTCTTGAGTCCTGTGTCCCAGGCATTGGCCTTTCCAACAAGAGGAAGATGCTTGGTCTTGACCTCCTCACTTCATAGTGTTGGATAACCAGGGGTCCCTGGAACTGCGGCTTCTAATTTTGTGTTCTTCTTTCAGCTCAGCTGTTAACTAATGGAATCCATCTTGGATTTATCCAACTCCTTCACAGCGCTCTTTCAAACTATAGATCTTTTTCTTCCTTTAAAAGTATTCAGGTCTCTCCTCCCCAGAGATGCCCCACAGACCAGTCTCACCACACCCCCTTCTAACAAACCCCCTTACCTCCTCTCAGACTCAGCCCAGGCCTAATGAAGGTGAATGCCTGTACTTTTGTTTTATGCATTACTTTGTATTAAATTGTGTTCAATTCTTGTCGGTAGATTCAATTGATGACTCCTAATGCAGTCAGGTAGGGGTCTTAATTTCTTAGAAGGATCTGTCTCTACGTTACCTCTTACACTGCTGTTAGCTGTCTGTATTGCATATTTTGGTAAATATTGATTGATTGATTATTAGGCATCTGGCACCATGTGTGGCAGTTTCATGAATGTTAATTATTATAATTTTCATGATGATCCTGGGAGATTTCCCTTTTACACAAGGAAATTGAGGCTCCATGAATTTGAATAATTTACTGAGATTGCATAACCAGTAAATGGCAAACTAGAGCTCAAACTCGGGCCCTCGGACAACTCCAAAGTTGTCCCTCCAACTGTACTTATGAGCCACATGGTGAATGTCCGGTAGTGAAAACCTACCTTTAGCTCTTGTTGGGGGCTGGTGACGTAGCAGGAAACCTAGGTTGGACCTACAGGTAAGTGGCTCGTTCAAGGCTCAATACCTTCCCTCCCTTCCTAGTGGGCAGGCTTGTCCTGAAGCCTCAGCAGCCCGGCACCAGTGGGACAGTGCACTGACCTGTCATCAGCCCTGCACACCTGTCAGCTTTGTGGGCTTTCCAGCCAAGCCTTTCATTGGCCTGAACCAAACATCCTTCCCACAAGTGTGAGTTAAGGCCCTGGAGTCCTAAAAGGGTTTAATGTGAGATGGCAAAGCTCTAGCCTCAATTACTGAATTATGAGTTAAGAGAAAAATAGAATGGAATCACAAGCACCTGATGCCCAAGAACTGGGGGGTGTTCCTTCTTCACCCCAGAGGCCTCGTGGCCTGGGCCTGGCAGAGCATTCTGCTGTTCACCCCCTGGCTACCACGGGCAAATTATTTCCTTCTCCTGAGCCTGATTTTTCTTCTAAGAATGGAGACAGTACCTGCCTTGCAGGAGTAAGGGGCAGCTGCCAGCACATAATAGATGCTTCATAAATAGCAGGTCCCTCTCTTCAGGTGAGCCGTCAGCCGTGGCCTGTCCTGGCAGAGCCCAGCAGAACACCTTCCAAAGCAGTGGGAGCAACTGAGTTTTTGATGGAATTCTCCAGGTCTTAGCACTTTGACTATTCATCAGGCGACTGAGGCGAGAGGGCTGTGGGTTCTGCAGGGTCCCTGTCGTTCCTTTGTTCTTCCAATCCCACCTGTCCTAGCTGGTGGTTCTGCCCCACCTGTCACACATGGACAGGGTCTGCCCTCTCCGCCACCTGGGGTCCCATGGTGGTTCTGCTACTGCCACCTTCTGAAGGTCACTGGGCATGTCCGTATGGTCTTCCTCGATCGTAAATTTCCTTCTCGGTGCCCCGTGCACCTCTCCCCCTGTGCTCTGACCCAGGGGAGGTAGGGAGAGAGCAGAAGAAAAGCAAAGCCAGACTTAGGTGTTTGTTTTGATTTTATTTTGTGGGCAAGGTATGTGGTGGCATTTTATTGTTTAATGTCTGCTTTTAGGGAGTCTGCCATCTGCCTGGTAATAATGGCTGCAGCTCCTTAGTCACCGGTGAGCTAGAGCCTGGCTGTGCAGATTCCAGTAAATAAGATAACAGACGCTTGGCGGGGCTGCGGGTACAGAGCCAGCCCATGGGCTGCAGGCGCTGCCAGGAACTGCCCCACTACTGTGTTGCGGGGGTGGCAACTTTAGGGGGTTCCAGGCAGCCCAGGGTGGGCCCTCTGGGCAGAGTGGAGGGCTGTGGAGTTGGGGGCCCCTGTTCTTCCCCAACTTGGCTTTCCTTTTCTTTTTGGTCATGGGCTCTCAGAGTCTGGGGGCTCCTAGGGCAGGGTTTTGCTAGTGCTTGGAGAGAGAACCAGCTGCAGAATCAGGAGCTGAGGACAGTGAGAAACAGCACCAAGCCTCGGAAACCTTGTGGGCTTTTCTTTTCTCACAACCCAAACAACTGATGTTTTCAACCTTAGATGAAGACGTTCTTGCTTTGCAAGCTGCGTTGGCCAAGTCACATTGAGAATCAGGTTTTAACTGAGGGTGGAATTACAGCTGACAAATGTGAGCATTTGGGGGTGCTCTCTAAGGCTTTTCTGGAAGGTCTACTAGGGTCCACTTGCCTGTTGTCAGAAGGGAGAACTGGGGTGGCTTGTGTTAGAGAAAAAGTGGGAAGGAAACAAAATATTATCTTCACTTGATGTAAGGAGAATGCACATGACTCCAGGTAACCCGGGGCCAGTAAGCAGCGTCTTCCGTGGACCATGGTGGGTGTGGGGCTCTTTCTTGGGGCCCATTGCTGTGGCTCATACCCTGCCTGTGGCTCTGGGGTGGCTGACGTGGAGGTTCTGGCACTTTCCCAAAACCGTAGCCATCAGACAGTTAAATCCTGCCCTGCCGTTCCATTCATCAAAGCAGGGAAATGTGCAGGACACTTTTAGAAATATTCTCACCAATAAGCATCCGAAGGGTGATTGCTGCTTATCCAAACAAATAAGTAAGAATGATAATCCTTTAATTGCCATTCCCCAAGGTTTTCTAGTACCTAAGGCCTTCCCGCCACAACTTTGGCAGGAAATGGGTAGCTCTTCAAAGATGAGCTTTCTGGATAACGGAGCTTCCCCCTAATAAACGGTGCTTGATTTGGGCTCAGGCAGCCCGGTGACCATTGCCATGTGAGTCAAGTGAGCTGGCAGGGAACCTGGAGGTATCCTTGGAGGGGGAGTTTGCATCTGAAGAGCAAGCAGGAATGATATGCTTTTAAGCCCCGGAAGACCAATGTGAAGGCACCGTTCCTGTGCTGAGAAGACTGGTGGGAGGACCCCACAGCGAGCGCCTGCCGGAGTCCCCTCGAAGCTCGCCAGGTGGAGCGGCCACCACAACTCTGGAATGAGGCCCACTCCGACACCTGCCGTGGACTGCGAGAGTCTCTGGATGATCCCCGCTGCTGATTCTGCACCCGTCTCGGGGTAGGGGTGTGTGGGAAGGGGCCGGGCTGGCCTAGGGATTCACCTGTTTTGAAAGCAGAATTGCTCAGATTCCAGAAGCCCACTCACCCCTCTTGGGATTTGCCCTTAGTATTAGGCCAAGACCCAAGGCAGGCATTTACGCAGGATGGCCAAACCTGGCTGGGAGCCAGCTGCAGGCATCTGCCACCACCCCTTCCCTCTGAGTCACCCCATACTCATCCGTGCAAGGCGTAGAGCCCTGAGACGTGCTCACTGGCATCTTCCAACACGAACTCCAGGGGGACGATTGGAAGGAAGGGTGGCCGTGGAGTGGGGAGGAGGGGGAGCGCGGGAGAGAACCGTGCTCCCACCAGGCCTGGGCTTGGGCGTGAGGAGCTTTAAGTGCCCCACTGCGGCGTTAGGATAGCCAAGGCTTTAGCCTTGGATGCTGGCCCAGACCCTTCGGGGGTCTCACAGACTGCAGGACTTGCAGCTGCTCCTCCCTGGCTGCCTGGAGGCCGGCCCTCAGGCCGCGCAGCCATCTGTCGTGGTTCGCCTGTGAGGAGAGACTTGGGAGGGAGGGGCTTTCTGAGGCCTCTATTTTTTTTTTTCTCCTGTTCACCTTCCTTCTCAAAGCCCGACTTGATCTATGAGAACCATCTCCCCTACTGTCTCCTGACTGGGGAGAAAAGATGTCAGCGGATAGCCTCAAGCCCCCCCAACAACCTGCACTAGACTCTCTTGTTACAGTACACGTTCCTGGGTCTCGCCCGTCTGCTGACTGTGCATCACCAGGCGCTCAGCCATGCCTTGTGTGCACTTTGGACCAGCTTTGCAGGAGAGAGGCCTCCTGTTTCCCTGCTGCTCTTTTATCTGAGGAACAAAATCATGGGCCTTCTTGCCTACAGTCCAACTGGTCATTGAGTCTAGCAGTTTCCCCCCAAATCAGTTTCACCCATGAAGAGAGATAAGTAAATCCTTGTGCAATTGCAAAAGAAAAAAAAAGAATCCAGAGTATTTTTCAATGGTCCCAAATGCCGAGGCACTGCGGTTCAGCCAGCTACACCTTGTCTGGAATACTGTCGACAAACTAGAGTCCTGCCAGATGCACTTGACAATGAAATCAACCCGAGCATCACCAATCTCTGGTGCTGGACTCAGCTGCCACCACTTTGACAAAGTCTGGAGTGCAGTGAGTGAGGACACTAGGTGATGGGTGGGGAGCCCCGCCCGCTGTGGCCGGGGTTCCTCACATTTTAAATATCTGCCGTCGTCTTGCTGCGGGGCGGTCCCTGTGCTCACTTGGGCAGAGGGAAAGGGGGTAGTTTGTAGGGAGGGGTTACGAAACTATGCCTTTAGCCTCTTCCTTCCTCCAGAGCCTTCCCTTGAGTCTAGCGTCCCCACTACAGGCTTCCCCCGACTTTTATTCTCCAAGCGGTTTTTCTGTTTGGCCGTTGTCTCCACCGCATCCAGATTTATCTCTTCTCTCCCCTATGCCTTTTGGGTCTTCTGAGAGTAGCTAATCCAATAACCCGCCAAGTCAGAGAAGGGTTCGGATGCACGAGTTCTCGCTCCTGGCTTCCTCTGAAATGCTGCCTTGACCCAAGTGAGGGGCCCGGGAATAGGCAGTGGAAACGGTTGTGTAGGTTTGGGACATCGCACCCTGCTGGGACTTACCTGTTGGAGAAACTGGGCTTTTGGTGGCAAACGAATCATTCTTCCTACCTCCGTGGCAGCTGTGCATCTACGCTGGGTTCTGGAAGGCGCAGTGCTGGCCATTTCAGCTCGTAGGTTGGGAAGAAGGGGCAGTGTGCCCGATCTGATAGGTGTAACACGCCATGGTGCTTTGGCACCAAGAGGCCAATTGAAACTGGAGAGTTTTAGAGAATAAAGTATGACCGTCACCCACAGCACAGCTGCTTCCTGAAAATTCCACTCCCGCTGCATGAAAAAGCACATGGAGTATTCCAGGATTCTTAATATAGGCATTTTCCCACGTTCTGTAGATTGCTTGTTTTTCTTCCCCTATCCCATGGGTCTGCTGGTGGCTGACTGGCCACTTTTTGGTCAGCTTTATTGAGGTGTGATTTACATATAATGCCCTTTGACTGACAGTATACAATTAGATGGGTTGTCGTAAGTGTGCACAGTCATGTGACCACCGCCACAGTGTGATCTGGAACATTTCCACCACTCCACAAGGTCCCTCTGACCCTTTACAGCCTCTGCCCTTCCCCACCTCCACCTTCAGACTTGAGGGTGGGTCCATGTCTTACCTTTGTGTATCCCATGTCCAGCGCAATTCTGAACCCAGGTGGACACAAGTGATGTTTAAATGAGTACATTAGGAGGCCTGGCTTTTTTTTTTCCCCAGGCTGGAGTGCAATGGTGCGATCTTGGCTCACTTCAACCTCCATCTCCCAGGTTCAAGCGATTCTCGTGGCTCAGCCTCCTGAGTAGCTGGGACTACAGCATGCACCAACACGCCCAGCTAACTTTTTATAGTGTTAGTAGAGACAGGGTTTTGCCATGTTGCCCAGGCTGGTCTTGAGCTCCTGAGCTCAGGTGGTCTGCCCGTCTCCACCTCAAAGTCCTCAGGTTACAGGTGTGAGCCACTGTACCCAGCCAGCTCTGGCATATTTTAAAAATCCTCCCAAGACTCCTTCTGTCTCCTCCCATTGATCCTAAATTTTGAAGGATTGTCCACCCAAGCATTTGTTAATTAGTAATTTCTTCATTTAGTCACTCACTCCTGGTACCAGCCTTCCTGATCAGCCTGAGATAATCAGCGTGACCGAAGTTGATAACATTCCAGCTGAAAGCAGAGACTTGCTGTTCTCGTTTGCCTATGCAGTCACGGGTGAAATGTGCAATTTCCTTTCCGTTCCTTGAGTGCCTGCGAGCACTGCGAGAGCCTCCATTGTTACTTTCTGTTATCTCTCACCCTAGACCAGAAATCGCCAGCCTTCACCACTGGCCTCTGCCTTTTTCTTTTTTCTTTTAATAATAAATGAGGAAGTTAGCCCTTGAGCAATTTAGGAGTTCACCCAAGAGCACCCCAAAAGGCTTGAAGTTTACAGGGATTTTTCTCTGTCCCAAACTGTTTGTTGTTGTCATAGTTGTTGAGACGGAGTCTCGCTCTGTCGCCCAAGCTGGGGTGCAGTGGTGGGATCCTGGCTCACTGCAACCTCCGCTTCCCGGGTTCAAGCGATTCTCCTGCTTCAGCCTCCTGAGTAGCTGGGACTACAGGCGGCCACCACCACGCCCAGCTAATTTTTGTATTTTTAGTAGAGACAGGTTTGGCCAGGCTGGTCTAGAACTCCTGACCTCAGGTGATCAGCCTGCCTTGGCCTCCCAAAATGCTTGGACTATAGGCGTGAGCCACTGTGCCCAGCCTGTCCTAAACTTTGTCACCAAGGATTTGATGTGTCCCTTCATTCTGCCTTCCTGAGCTCCCTTTCACTTGTACGTTGGGGAAGGATCTTGGCAAACCTGAAGGTAAGGTGGAATCTGCCTCTTTCCTCTCATCAAAGCTCTGAGAAGGAAGAATCTGTAGTGTCCCTGGGTTCAGTAATCATAGTATATTGCCTCTAAACTCAGTGAAGCATTTTAAAGTGATAACTCATGTTTTCCAAATGAGTCCCAGGCATCACAGCCATGTCTTTGTTAACTCATATGTGGTTCTATACTTCTATATGTTAACTCATTTTCCAGTAGGAACTCCCATGATTCCCAGTTTTTAGATTAAAAAACAGAGAAATGAAGTAACTTTCCCAGGGTTACATAGTCACAAGATCACCTATTGCTACATAACAAACCACCCCAAAACTTAAAAATATGATTTGAAATCATCTTTCATGGATTTAGGAGTCATCTGGCTCAGCTGAGTTCTCACTGGGGGTTCCTCCTATTTGAAAAGTCAGGTGGCAGCTGAGCCTGGCACATCCTAGAGGCTCCTTCACTCTCACATCACTCCCTGGGGCTGGCCGTGCAGCTGTTTCTCCATCCGTGCAGCCTCTCCACGTGGCTGGCTTGAGCTTCCTCATAACATGGTGGTCTTGGTGCAGATTCCTAACGTGGCAGCTGGTTTCACCCGCGGCAGACATTACAAGAGATCCAGGAGGAACTGCGAGGTTCCTTCTCACCTAACCCAGAAGTCAGGTGGTGTGGTTTCTGCTGCATTTCTGTTGAGCACAGCTGCCCCAACTCAAGGATGGAGGAACAGATTCGCCCACTCAACAGGAGACAGCACATGTATGCAGGGAGGGACCACATTCCTAGTGGCTGTCCTGTGGGCTACTTACCCCATGGAGCCCCTGTGCCTGCCATGCGTTGAGCCACTTCCGCAGCGGCTTTCAGACTTTGACAGTGAGCCACGGCGAGGAACTTCACATCATGACCTATTGGATATAGACATCCCAGAAAACTCCTGGAGCTCTGGTTTTGTTCTATGAACAGCAGCCGCAACAAAACCTGTGTGTCCTGAGTGGATTTTATGACCTATGTCCTACGTGCAGTTTGAGAAGCAGTTCCACAGGATGCCACCTCAAGTGCCGACTCTGTGCCGCGATGGAACACCACGGAATAAAGAAAACAAATGTCAATTTGGGTTACACAGATGCCACGTCTTACCAACCCAGCAAAAGTCCAGGTGTTGAACAAAATAGCCTGTTGGTGAGTCAGTGCGGGAAATAGACTCTCCTACATCATAGTTAGGAGAGCAAACTGTCCAATGCTGAGGAGGGCTCGTGGTGACATCCGTGTCCCCACCCAAATCTCCTCTTGAATTGTAATTCCCACATGTCAAGGGAGAGAGCAGGTGGAGGTAATTCAATCATGGGGGTGGTTTCCCCCATGCTGTTCTGTGATAGTGAGTTCTCACGAGATCTGTTGGTTTTATAAGGGGCCCTTCCCCCTGTCTGCACGTGGCAGAAATAATAAATGCACTGACCTGCAAGCAGCAGCCACACTTCTGGGAACTTATGCTGGAAATATGAAGTATGGACCAAGTTTTTATTGTATTAATTCTCTGTAATTGCCAAAGATTGAAAGCAGCCTGCGTCACCTACAGGGGACTGGTTAAACTAGAGCATTCCAGACAAAAGCATATGACGTGGATACCCCCAAATCCCTACGTGCTGATATTGAAAGATCTCCCAGATAGGCGAGGCAGTAAGACACGAGCAAAACAGATAAGAGACAGGGAACAGCCTTCATATTTGCATTTGCATAAAGCAACCCTAGCTGTCTACGCAACTAAAAGTGGTTCCTCTGGGGACATGGCATGGCTGGGCCAAGGGTATGACTCTTCAATTACAGGTTGTTATGTTTTGACTTTTGAATCCTATTAATTTACTTTTTTTTTTTTTTTTTTTGAGACATAGTCTCGCACTGCTGCCCAGTCTGGAGTGCAGTGGCGCGATCTCAACTCACTGCAACCTCTGCCTCCCAGGTTCAAATGATTCTCCTGCCTCAGCCTCCTGAGTTGCTGGGACTATAGGCGCCCACCACCATGCCCAGCTAATTTTTGTATATTTAGTAGAGATGGGATTTCACCATGTTGGCCAAGCTGGATGAATTTACTTCTTAAAAAAAAAAAAACAAGCTGGATAATATAGCCGTTGCTCTCAGAGTCCTCACAATCTATACAGAGATACAATTTATATGTAAATAGCAAATGGGTAATACGTGACTGATTTTAAATTCTTAGGCATTAAAATGCAATGGAGTAGGATATCATTTTCAACTGGACTGCTCAGAAAAGTTGGTGTAAATTTGTGGGAATCAGCTAGTTTTTGAAGAATGAGTAGGATATAAATGGGTGAGAGAAAAAGGGTCAGGACACTCGAGGTAGGAAGGAATGGTGTGAGCCACTGCTGCTCAAATTTTGTAACAAGCCTCCCTTTGAAGGGAGAAAATTTCTTACTGATGGCTGTCCTTGAACCCCAATATGATAAAGATCGCCTTAAATTCCTATACAAAGTGTTTTAATCGCAAATCATCAGAATCAAGGAATTCCGGCTCCCCAGCTATTACCTTTAAAATCACTTATCTAGGTCAGGCACAGTGGCTCACATCCATAATCCCAGAACTTTGGAAGGCTGAGGCAGGCAGATCCCTTGAGGTCAGGAGTTCGAGACCAACCTGGCCAACATGGTGAAACCCCATCTCTACTAAAAATACAAAAATTAGCTGGGCATGGTGGTACATACCTGTAATCCCAGCTACTCTGGAGGCTGAGGCAGGAGAATCACTTGAACCCAGGAGGTGAAGGTTGCAGTGAGCTGAGATCACACCACTGCGCTCCAGCCTGAGCAACAGAGCGAGACCCTGTCTCAAAAAAAAAAAAATATATATATATATCATATTGCTTATATATATATCATATATATGTCTATGATAACTTTAACCTTGTGGGAGTCCTGAGCCCCCTTTTTTGAGGAATGCTGGCACGGGGGGATTAAAGAGGAGTAGAGGGTGTCCCAGGACAGCGTGTAGGTCAGGTGGCTGCTGCAGAAGAGCGGTGTGGGAGAAAGGAGAGGCTGAGGCCAGGGCTGTGTCCTGGGGTGCACTGAATGCCAGGCAGAGTCCGACACCTTCTGCAGGCAGGAAGCAACCACTGAAGGTTTCAGCCAGCAGGTCCCTGTTCAATGTTCATTCCTTTCTCTAGGCTGGGCACACAGATAGCCTGGGGAGAACTGACCTACTGTGATCTTTTGATTCTGCCCTTTAAGCCATGAAAATAGGGCAGTGCAGACTAAGAGGGGGCCAGGTGGGCCGTGGGGAGTATCCCTCAGGTAGCTTCGGTTTCCCCTCCACCTGTGGAGTTCCCCTTTCTTCTTCACGGACCTCTCCAAAGGCTGTCTCCCAGATTAGTCTGAAAACAGATCTTTGGGAAACGTTGGCACCCTCGGCCATCCTGGAAGGTCAGAGTCCACTCACTTTGGGCACGAAGACCTGAGACGTGGCAGCCTCGTGTTGCACAAGCAGAGGGAGGTGTCCCTGGGCCTCATGAGTGCAAAGGGCAGAAGTTCATGATCCAGGGGGCTTCTAGGATCCACTGCTGAGAACCAAGAGTGAAACCAGAAGCACTGGCAATGCCAGGGACAAACTACACAAAGGGGACGGTCCTCTGGCTCTAGGGATGTCCCACAGGGCCTGACCCAGAATCTTCTGCACTTTCTCCATGAGAAAGAAAGATCCCAAACCCTTCTGACAGGTGTAGGTGACACACGCAGAGGCCACACTCAGGGAGGGGTTTCCTTCTGCCTCTCAGCAGCCACCAGGCCCTGCAGAGAGGCTTGGGCTGCATGGAGACTCCATCCTGCACACAGGACACGAGTCAGGGACACCTCAGTGACCAGGCCCTGCTCACAGAGGCGTCCAAACTCTGTCCCAAGAGACGACGACTTTTAACCCCATTCCTAGGACATGCGATGCAGGCTTTTTGCTTTTTCTTGTTTGAAAAAACAAAGACGCAAACAACCCCCTGTTTTTTGTACCTGACTCCCAGCTGGCGCAGCAGCTGATCTGGAAGTCTCTCCTCCTCTGGTGACTTTGGCCTCACATCTCAGCAGTTTTCTTCCCTCTCCTCCTTATATAACAAGCCCCTCTAGAACAGAATGAGTTTGTTGGCAACAAAACACCAAAAATAAGAAAACCTAGCAAATTCCCTTGTTTAGGTTCATTAGCGCCGTGGTTTGCAGCCTTGAGTCCCCAACCAAGAAACTCAAGCTTTTCTGCACCACGTAGTCTCCCCGATGAACCAGCTGCCCAGCGAGCCCTGTGAGGGGTCCCCCAGCTCCAGACATTCTGAGGCTGCCTGGTGCCTGCAGCTGGTCCCTGGCCTCCATCTGGAGCCCTCTGTACTTGGTCCTCATTGCCCCAGCCTGGGGGCCAAGGGCCTGGGCCTGAGAGATGGGGACCTGGGTTCTCAGACCCTTCTCCCAGCTTCCTTGCTGCCCAGCCCCAGCAAGGTATTTAATCTCTGAGTGTCTCTGGTCTCATTTATCTTCTTGGTCTGAGCGCTGAGCCTCAGACTGGATCCCACTAATCTTCTGACCCTGAGCCTGGGAGCATGGCATGCACCTTTCTCTGTGTTCTAGAAGGACCTGGAGCCGTGGATACAGGAAGAATTGACCTCTCCAGTTCCCATTTCCTGGGGAACCTATGACCTCCAGCATCTCTGAGGAGCTGGGTGGGTGGTCCAGGCCTGGCGTGATGGGCAGTTGTTTGGCAGATGAAATTGAGGCCATCTCTGGCCATTTGCTGCTATTGCTTTTTAAAAATTTAGTGGATTTTACTTGTGAGCAGTTTTAGGTTTACAGAACCTGAAGCGGAAAGTTCAGAGGGTGCCCATCTGCCCCTCCCTGACCCTGCAGCCCCCATGCCAATCTCCCCTGTTGTCTGCGTCTGGCATTACTGTGGCACCTCTGTTACCATTGAGCTTCTGTTGATACCTTATTGTTAACCGAAGTCCATAGCTGACATTAGGGCTCACTCTTGGTGGTGTACATTCTGTGGGTTTTGACAAATGTGTGATGTCGTGTGTGTGATGTTGTGTGTCCACTATTACACTCTCATGCAGAGCGGTTCCACCGCCCTAGAAATCCCCTGTGCACCACCTGCCCTTCCCTCCCTCCCTCACCCAAGCCCTGGCTGCCATCACATCCTTTGGTGGTTGTCCTGCCTCTGTCCTGGAACTGCTCATGCCTTGGGGCCTGAACACAGGCTGTACCCACCAGGTGGCAGTGACCAGCGTGGCCCTGGGGCCCACCTGGATGTGTTCGAAGGAGGAGTGTCATTGCGGTGCTGGGAGGTGGGATGGCCTGGAACAGAATTTGTTTTGGGAAGGCCTTGGAGGAGCTGGAGGGGTTGAGTCTAGACACCTCCTGTCTCAGAGGAGGAAACTGACGACCAGAGATGGGAGGCGACTTTCTTTTTTTTTTTTTTTTTGAGACAGAGTCTCGCTCTGTCGCCCAGGCTGGAGTGCAGTGGCGTGATCTCAGCTCACTGCAAGCTCCGCCTCCCGGGTTCACGCCATTCTCCTGCCTCAGCCTCCCGAGTAGCTTGGACTACAGGTGCCCGCCACCACACCTGGCTAATTTTTTGTATTTTTTAGTAGAGACAGGGTTTCACCATGTTAGCCAGGATGGTCTCGATCTCCTGACCTCATGATCCGCCCACCTCGGCCTCCCAAAGTGCTGGGATTACAGGCATGAGCCACCGCACCCGGCCCGTGAGGCGACTTTCAAATGACACAGCTGGTTAGGCAGAAATCTAGATCCAGGCCTGCCTCACTGAGGGGGTAGAGGTTCAATTTATCTTTTTAAACAAGAATTAAACTTATAAAAAGACTAAAAAGTAAAATTTTAAAAGAGCTAGCAGTGTGGTTGTTGTGAGTGTTGTTAGCCCACCCGTGAGGGATTTTGGCCGGTGTGAGGTTCTGGAGGGGGCGGCATACCTCCCAGGCACCTTCATGTCCTATCTGGTAGCTGCCTGCAGCGTGGCCCTGGCGGTGTGGCCTGGAATGGGGAGTAGCAGACACCTTCTCCTGACCTGGCTGGTCTTTATGCATCGCTGCTGGCTAGATGCTAGATGCTGGCCGGTGGCATCTGGAGCCCCTCCATGCAGAGTGTCCGCGCCCGTCAGTCTGGAGGACACGACAGGTTCCATGGTTCCTGGGAAGTTCCTGGAGCGGCTGCCGCCTGCGTGGCTGGGATCACAGACTGAAGGGCTCTGGGGAAGTCACAGATTCATGTACAATAAATGACACCAGAAAGGGAGTTGGAGCACGGGCTTTGTGCTGTCGCTGGAGACAAGATGCAAAGGTGCCCGCAGAACCCAAGTGGCTTCATAGAATTAGAACATTTGCTATGTGCCCAGTATAGCCAGGCCCGTGCGAGGGATGGCCAGCCCGTTGCAATCCTGTAAGAGTTACTGTTACCAGCTTATGTAGTGGAAACACAAGCTAGAAAGTCAGAAGCAGCTATAAGAGCATGACATGATCAAAAGGGACCTTGGTTAGAAGTTGCAAGACCAGGATTTGGTTCTGGCTGAGTCACGGCTCTACCATGTGGCTCTGAGCAACTTGCTTGAATCTCTGGACATCTGTTACCCCACCTGTAACAGAAGGGCCTTGGAGAATTTCTGAGGCCATTTCCATCCTAACACCCTGTGACTGCCCAGTTCTCTGGGTTTAGGCGCTAGAGGTGAGGGCACCCGCAGCAGGCCCGGGCCAGTTGGGAACAGAAGCTGACAGGCACCGCTCGGCAGGGGGCTGGGGCTGGTGGTTGTCCCCAAAGGTGTAATTGCTGTTCTGGGTCTAGCGGTGGCCTGGGGATGAGGCCAAGCTACCCTGCATGTCAAAGGGCCAGGGGAGGAGCAGATGGGGGTGGTGGTGAGAGGTGAGGAGGGAGGGAATCACCACACCCTTGTGGTAATAAAGAGATGTGATGTTCTGTGTTCTTAACTCCATGTGTATTTCTGGGCATAAAGTACGGAGAGGGGTCAGAGGGCTTCAGCCAGGAGAGGAGGACAGATGGTACCCCTTGCTCCACACTTCTGGTGACACCTCGGGGACAGAAGGTCAGCTCTTCTCTGTTCCCTGAAATCTACCTGCATGATTTCAAAGCTTATCTAATGCAGAATTTTTCAGACTTTTTCACCCACAACACAATAGGAAGTACATTTTATTCAGGCTGGGTACAGCGGCTCATGCCTGTAATCTCAACACTCTGGGAGGCCAAGGCAGGTATATCCCTTGAGCCCAGGAGTTCAAGACCAGCCTGGACAACATGGGAAAACGCCATCTCTACTAAAAATAGAAAAATTAGCCGGGCGTGGTGGCTCACACCTGTAATCCCAGCTACTTGGGAGACTGAGGCATGAGAATCGCTTGAACCCGGGAGGCGGAGGTTGAAGTGAGCCAAGATTGCGCTACTACACTCCAGCCTGGGCGACAGAGTGAGACTCCATCTCAAAAAACAAAAAACGAACAAACAAAAAAACAGGCCGGACACGGTAGCTCACACCTCTAATCACAACACTTTGGGAGGCCAAAGTAGGTGGATCATGAGGTCAGGAGTTTGAGACCAGCCTGGCCAACATGGTGAAACCCCATCTCTACTAAATATACAAAAATTAGCCAGGCGTGGTGGCGGGCGCCTGTAATCTCAGCTACTCAGAGGCTGAGGCAGGAGAATCACTTGAACCCAGGAGGCGGAGGTTGCAGTGAGCCGAGATTGTGCCATTGCATTCCAGCCTGGATGACAGAGCAAGACTCTGTCTCAGGGGAAAAAACAAACAAACAAACAAAGTACATTTTATTCTATGTGTGTGTGAATCATTGAGACACAGGCTTCATGCAACCATGAGATACATTCTTATTGTAATTCAGTTTTTGGTGGTTGTGCAATCCACTAAATTGATTTCATAATCCACTGACAAGTTGGGACTGTCAGTGTGAAGAGCCGTGGCCAGATGCTGCGGGAGTGGCCGGCTCACCCCGGGATGGAAGTGAGGAGACAAATGAAAGCTCCTCTATTCACTATGCTTGGCTTGGGAAGCCCTGGCTTGCTTTTTAAGTCCATGGTATTTCCTCCTTCCTCTGAACTCCCTGTACCTTTTGATCTATAATGTGCCTGGCACAGAGCAGGTGGGTGAAACAAGATGGAGTAGAAGGAGTCCTTGGGTACCCGTAGAAAGTGTTGGGGAAGAATCTTTTGATGTATGGCTCTGTAAATATGGACAGTTGAGATTCTGGAAGCACTGAGGTGGCAGCCTTTGCAGGCCTCAGCTCTGGGCCAAAGCCCAAAGCCACATCTTGGGTAGCTGTTTGGGAGCAGAAATGAGGTCTCTGAGCCCTCGTTCAGAGGTGTCCTCTCTCACACAAGGTCCTCTACGTAGAGGAGGGTGTGTCTCAGAGCCAGCCAGCAACTCGGTGACCTTACAAAAATGTCCCCAGGGTGCCCAATTTTATTGTAGTTCATGGTGTCCCTCCTGCAGTTTGTCTTCAAGCACTAACCAAAACCGCTGGGTGTGTACCCGGTGGGGAGCACCAGGCGGCGGTGGGGGGTGGGGGGGGTGGCAAGAAGCTGACTGTGGGGGAAGCGTCAGATCTGACCAGGGCCATTTGGGCCTCTGCAGCAGAGGTCAGGCCGGGGCCATCTCACTTTCACCTCGTGGCTGGTTTTTTCCTCTCTGAAGTCTGGGTGGCCGATGACTGGAGGGTGTGTCTGCAGCTGGCTGGCCGGGCCGGGTGTGGGGCCTCGGGGCCTTTCCCTTGAGTCGGTAGTGCCCACGGAGGGCTCTATGCTGGTATTGGCTGGTGGTTTGGCATTTTATTTGCGAGCCAATAAAACCTCCCCAGAACCCCAGAGCTGGCCTTTTCACACCCTGTCTTGGTAGAATCATAATGTCAGAGCTGAAGACAGTCCTAGAAATGAAGGGCTGTTCCCTCCGTACAGGGGCTGGAGGTGGCGCATCAGGATGTCATTCCCTTATCCCGAGGTCTTGGTGTTTACTGGCCCCCGGGCCGTCCTCAGTCATTTACGCCCCAGCTTATGACCACTCTCCCCGTGTCAGCTCTGCGAAGGGGAAGGACAGAGGCTCATGGAATCCAGCCCTGGGAGGAGCCGGTGACTCAGGGGTGAAAAAGACGCGGTCCTTGCCGAGCTCCAACTGGGTGTGGCAGGAGACAGGCCCTCAGTGACAGGACAGGGTGACAAGATGCCATGACAGACACTTGCACGACTGTTACCCAGCGTGCGAAGGCAAGAGGATTGCCCCACTCTGCTGCCAAGGCTCAGAGACGAGGCTAGGAGGTGATCGTGGTGCTTTTCTAAACCTGTGATTGCCCTTCACGTACTGTGAATGTTCCCTGACAGTCAAAGGAGGACATTTGGCCATTTCCTGTTGTTCTCTAAGCACTGCCAGGACAACGGCCCTTCACATCCGTCTTTGTCCTCTCGTCCAGCTGGGGCCTGTGGGTGTCTCACTGGGCCCTGGGCAAAGTGAGGGTTCCATAGTGTGGACAGAGAGCCACAGTGTGGGCGGAGAGCCCACCCGATGACTGAGCAGACCCATCCGTCTATGCAGCGAAGGCTGAGAGCTTCCAAACAGCGGCCTGCTTTTACCCTGGACTCTCCCCATGTCTGTCCCCACCAGCTCGGGTGAGGGGGCCTAGGGCTCTGTGTTAGGAGGGGTCTGCAGAGAAGGAGAACCAAGACTAGAGATCCAAGCATATAGATCTCCTATTTTTCTTAATATATGTATACTAAGAAAATATATTAAGTTAATATATTATGTGATTATATCTCCTTAATATACATATTTTTCTTAATATGTATATTGAGATATAATCACATAATATATTAACTCTATATAATGTATATAACATGATTACATATACATATTATCGTGATATATATATATATATATATATATATATATATATATATATATATGAGATTTGTTTGAAAGAATTGACTCATGCGTTGGTCGGAACTGGAAAGTCCCGAATCCACTGGGCAGACGGACTAGAAGCTCAGGCAGTCGATGCTGCAATCATGAAGCAGAATTTCCCCTTCCAGAACCCTCTGTTTTCCCTCTTCAGGCCTGCTGCGGATTGGGGGAGGCCCACCCACATCATTCAGCATGATCTGCTTCACTTCAAGTCACTGACTGTAGATGTCATCCACGTCTGCAAATACGCCCACGGCAGCCACCTGCTTGGTATTTGATTGAATCAGTGGGTGCTATGGCCTCGCCAGGCTGACACATCAAATTAACCGTTACTGACTCCACGATGGGATGTGGTCAGTGGAGCCCAGCGCTCCCTGTCCCATAACATCCCCTCCCCTGCCCCCTGGCTGGGGCCCGCAGTGCCACCTGTGAAGACCGCAGCTACTCCGGATGGAGGCGGCAACCTGCAGCCCAGGCCACACCCTTGGAAGGGAGCTGGGAGGCTGCCTGCTGCTGGTCCTCGAGGAGACGGCTGCACAGACCATGCAAATGCGCCCCCCAACCTGCATGTCCCGGGGCCTCCCAGGTACTTGCCTCCTTCCTCATGAACTGGGAGCTGACCCAGACTCCTGTAGCCTCCACCCAACCTGTCCCTCTAGGTGCTGCCCCTGCCCCCCACTCTCCCTCCTTCTGGGGGATCTCAGACAGGCTGGAAGAAGACAAGCATGTGTGATGAGCAGAGGCTGGACTCAACCTGGCCTGGGAGCAGCTGCCTGTAAGAGGCTGCCCTGGGGCCCTGAACTAGGAAGGGGCTCTCAGGAATCCCACAGCACAAGCCCCTGAGGTCAGGACGGTCAGGATGGCCACCCCCAGCTGGTCAGAAGAGGCACTGTTGGCCCCTGCAGAGCATCCTCCACCACAACGTGAGGAGGCCAGTGGGGTCCCTCCAAGCTTCCATGGAGCTCTGGTCAAGTAAAGGCTGCCCGGAGTGGGCAAGGAAAGGCTCGGCTGCCCTTTGCACGAGGACAGAGCCGGAGACTCTGGCAGCGGCCATGCTGTGATCCTCTTTAGAACTGCCGTGCACAAGTCATGAATCATCTTGGCTTTCACCTTGGGAACGGGATAAAGACAGCTCTCTAATTATAAGGGGGACAGCCAGTGTCTTTGCAGAAGCCTCTGAAACCCGATCTCAGGCCTTGGTTGAGTGTGAGCAACTGCCCTGGCTTCCGCGGGAGCCGCATGAGGGGCCTGGCTGCCCTGGTGATGATGCCTTTGTTGCTCCCCACAGCCTTCATCATCAGGCCCCAGTGTGCCCTCGGCCAGCGGCCCTCGCCATGCCCAGTGCCACGGGGGCTCACACCGCGGGAAGGGCCTTTGATGACGTCCTCTGGTCTCGTTTCCCACCAGCCCGTGATAAGAAGGATGATGGCCTCCTTTTACACACTGGAAAGTGGAGGTTCCTGGATTTTAAAGGGCGTGCTCCACATAAGACGTGAATGCAGAACTGCGGGGAGGGTCGAGGTCTCCTGGGCACTCCGGGCCAGGGATTCTGCAGCTACTTGGTTTTGAGCAAAAAGAGTTTCATGTCTGGTGCTGATATGGAGCTAGGGAAGCCCCGGGTGGCCTCGGGCCAGACGAGGAACTGGGAATACGGTGGAGCAGGGGACTTCCTCAAAGCCAGGGGAGGCTCAGGCTGCCAGGCCAGGGTCCTTGGCCTTGGGGGGCGGGGAAGGGGAGCCCCGAGGCGGTTGTGGGAACCAGGACCACCAGGTGAGGGAGCCAGGGAGGAAGGGTGGCCATAGGAGTGAAAAACAGTTGGATGTTTCTTTTGACATCAGGAAGTTGCTTAGGCTGTAGTGAGAAACTACGGTGTCCTCTGTGGAAAGTAAATGGCTCTGGAACTTCTCTGAGAGTGGAGCTTAGGCCTTCCCGGATTTGGCCACTGGCCCTCCCCTGCTGCCTGGTTCCAGTGATTCAATATTTGTTCCTTATTTTTCTGAGAGTGGTTATATAACATGAATGTTTTTCAAAGGCTCCAATTGACCTGGCTCTGGTCACCTCCTGCCGCCCATCAGTACCAAGAATTGCCCGTTTGGTGGTTTTGGGGATTGCGCAAGGCCGGCCTGTCCAGAGGCACCTCCCCCGTGCCTCCCAGCAGAGGGGCCTGCCAAGGCCGTCACCACTTGGGGCGAGATCCAGGCCACAGTCACCACTCAGCCGTGGTCAGAACCTATGAGCCACTCCCCGGGCAGTGACTGAGGGCAGGCAAGGTGGGCAGGACGGGGTCCAGGTGGGAACCGCGGGCCTCGGGCCTGTAGCTGGAGATGCCACACGCAGCTTTCCCGGGGTCACTGGGCGTCTGATAGAACCCGCCTGGTGCTGGATCCCACAGCCCAGGCCCTTAGGATTGAGGGAGCTGAACAATCAGTTGAGAAACCTTAAGGGTTAGAACCTAAGAAGCGTATCAAGACACAGGTTAAGATGGAAAGGCAGAAATGCTGCTGGGTCCTGGCCGTCTCACCTAGATAGCGTTGTGAAGGCAGAGGAAGCTCCTTCCTTCCCCGGCGGTGCACGCCCCGAGACTCCGTCCAAACACCCTGTGGCTCTGAGAGCAGTGGAGAGTCTTTGGTCGTTTGAGAGTAGGAGGAAATTATTTTGATGATGAAGATAGGAGATGAGAACATGCATCTTATTCTGAGTCTAATGGGAGTCCTTTACAATGTTCCTGATCTCGCCTATTGTTGTCCGCTTCAGTGGGTAAAAACAGAGAACGTGCGAGCTACAAGGCATCTTCACAGGTTCTCTAGTTCAACCCTCTCATTTGACAGATGAAAAACTGAAGTCCGGATATGTCCAAGATTCCCCAGATCGCAGATCACAGAGCTGGGGCTCCGGCTCAGCCCCCGGCTCCCTCCCTGCTGCAGGCTGTGTTCTTGTGGGCCTGAGGGACACGGGGGCTTGAATATGGCCGGGAGGGGCCCTGGCCTCGGCGGACGCAAGGCCCAGCAGCTCCAGATGGTGCTCTCTGTGCTGGGGTCCGCTCAGCAGGAGCGGAGAATGCAAATCATTCTCGATGTGTTGCTTCCTCGGTTGGAATCAAACAGGAATGTTGTATCGTGACCCTGATATTGTAAACCTCGAGTTTGCCCTGAGGTGGGGGCCATCGTGGGCCCCTGCTACTGGCAGCCTTTCTATTTGTCCTGTATTTGCACTCTTGTCTGTCTTCTTTCTGGGGTATCCCAGCTGCATCAACAAAGGAGCTCTGTAAGACAAAACATCAGAAACGCTGGAAGGTCGGAACTGCATCTGATCGATATACACTTAGCACCTGCTGTCAGGGCTAAGATGTGAGTAAAACTGCCCCCATCCTTCAAGAATACACAAATTAGTTGATTGCAAACATTAGAAAGTCTATTATCCTATGGGGAAATATTGGGATAAGTAGCGGGCCGGGGGCAGGAGGAGCTGTATGTGACTCCAAATGTGGATAGTGCAAGAATGTGAAGTGATTGCATTTGGTGGTGGGATTTTTTAGACTTTCCTGTTCCTTGCAACACCAGCTTGAGTTACTTTTAGTTAAGAAGAACTTGAAGAGAAAGTTAGTATGGTAAGTTGCCTGGGGAATGAATCACAGGACTATACAAATCCTTATGTATCCTTCCTTCCTTCCCCTGAGGTCACACTGTGCCAAGGATACTTGTTTTAGGAAGAAAAGCTCTCTTTTTATAGCCTCTGATACCAAATTGTTTTTCTATTACTGGAACTGAACCACTCCAAGGAGGTGGTAAAGTTTCATAGAAAGAGTTCTGAGCTAGGAGCAGGTGGACCTGGTTACAGGACATGCTTGCTACTGTCTGATTCTCTGGCATTGGGCAAATGACTTAACCTCTCTGACCCTCAGTATCTTCATCTATAGTCGGGGATGATACCACTTGTCTTTCCTACTTGTGTGGGTTGCTGTAAGGACCAAATGAGGCAACAGTTGGGAGATTTCAGAAGGACATACTAATGTCAGATTAATGTTGGCTCTGTCGTTAATACTTCACTTTTTTTGTGATAGACTTTTGGCTTTTGCCTGGATTTCTAAGGCAGCGAGATGGATGAATGAGTTGCTTTTAAGGTCAGCTTACATCTCAGGAATTCTCTCAGATTTAGGGCTTTTCTCTTTGGTCCTGATGCTTTTCTGACAGGTGACTTTATCAGTCCAAATCCTGAAAATTCACCTTTTTATCTCCAACACATGTGGTCAAGGTCTGACTTACATTTTGTGCAGCGGATGAAAATCAGAGTGCTAAAGCTGTCTCTTGGCGGAAATCAGGGCTTCAGCATCTCTTGGTGCCTCAGCGTTGCCCCCTAAATGTCCTCCCAGTCCTGTGAGGGCCTGAGTGGCCGGCAGACGGGAAGAGGAAGTGAGGGACTGGACTGGGAGTAGAGACCAGTGGTGGGGAAGGCCCAAAGCTCTGGCAGGAGTTTTAAATTTAGAAATCACGGGAATGGGGCACATCCAGGAGCCTGGGCCTTCTGGCATGTCACCCGAGACACCAGGTCCTAAGTATTCTACAAGCCAAGACTCTAGTTGCCATAGTTGCAGTTAGAGATTTTCCCACACCGGCCCCAAGATGCGTGATGTTTCCTGGTGAGCTCTGGAGATGAGAGCCAAGATTAGAATACTGGGACTTGCTGGGAGGTGGGATTGGGGGTGGGGAGCCTTCCAGCAAAGCCTGCCATCTGTGCCAGGGGACTTCCCTGTTGGGCTGCATGACCAGGCAGGCACACACACCTGAGTCCAGCAGCCACGCAGCAGGCCACGATGTTGGGCTTGACTTGATGCTTTCATACTCACTCCAGCCCGAGACACCTGCGTGGGACCTGCCTCCACCACTCCGGGCAGCCGCCTGGGGTCCACGGGCAGCCTGAGCTAGCAGCAGGCCTCACATCCGGCCCTCAGCTCTTTTACACCATCTTGACGTGAGTCCCTTTGAACCTCCTCGGCCTCAGTTGTTAGAGCAGGATGCTGCTTAGGGTTGCATGAGGAGCAAGTGAGGATTTGTGAAAAAGCTTCTGCATGTGGAAACTGCTGGTGCTGAACAAATGTTAGAGGGTAATGAGAATTTGAAACCAGAGAGGAATGTGCTCATTAAAATGGGCGATAAGAGACCCACCCTGGTCCCTCGTCACTTCCTAGTGAATTGCAACTGCGTGTGGCCTGATGGTTCACTGGCCCAGCGGCACAGACTCTGCGGCCCCATGCTTGCTGCAGGCGCAAGAGGGTGCTTGGTCGGGGAGTTAATTCAAACACATCTGGAACCTGCTGCCTGCCGGGTACAGTATGAGGCCAAGAATAGAGAGGTGGGTAGCTTTCCTCTTGCCAGGGATGGATTCAAAGTCTAGTTAGAGAAATAAACTGATAGATGAGTATAATACGGGATTATCAGTCTGGTAATAAAGGTGTATCTAAAGTACTGTGGGACACAGTCTAGGATAATTAATAAGAGATAATTAATTCTGTCTGAGGGTGACTCTCAGCCAGAGAGTGTGTTTGACTTGGGCTTTGCAGGACACATAGGAGTTTACTCTGTGAGCCAGGATTTGGGGACACGGAGCAGGAAGAGCAAGAGGAAGGAAAGAGAGCTCAGAGGAAGGAAAGGGCTTGGGGTGTTTGGTGAATGGCACCAGGGTGATTCCTGCATTGCTATGGGCCGGGCTTCATGCTGGGGGCTGGGGATGGGACCCTGGAGCTGTCCCTGAGTGGCTGAAGCAAAATGAGAGCAGTTCACAGGAGGGGTGGATGGTAGCCATGAACAGAAGTGTCTGAGGAGTTAAGACAGCATTCCAGGTGGGATGTCCATGGATGCATAGCTGTGTTTGGAAAATGACAAACCCTCTGCCTGGGCTGTTGCTGAAAGGAGGAGACCGGAACAGAGAACATCAGAAATAAGGCTGCGGAGGTCAGTTCATCTATGGGGCTTGGGTTGCAGCCTGCAGGGCCGGCTGGGAGCTCCTGACTGTGTCTGAGACTCCTGAGACTCCTCCTTGGGAGGCACGCAGCTCTCCATCTGGTCTGTGGTGGAATTTCCAAATGCCCTCGCTGTACCGCAGGCCAGTGCACTCTACCCATGCTCCCCAGGTGATGTCAGTGTGCAGCCAGGGCTGAGAACTTTGGAGATAAACACCACCAGAAAGGCTGAGTCTGGAATCTGCACATCTGAGATCTCACTGGCGTGTCTCAGTCAGCCAGGCCTGGAAGCCATTGCTGAGGTGACGGTACGAGTGGCTGGGGCCTTAGCAGGGGGCTGACGTGATGAGGCTCACCCTTTCAGGGGTTGCTCTTTAAGCAGAGACTTGGAGCACAGATCCAAACAGGGAAGGCTGAACAATTTGGACAATAATTAGGTGGCCCAAGAGGGAACTGGGTGAGAGTGGGTGTAGGCCTGGACCCCCAGGGCAAGGACGTGGAGAGAAGGGAATGGGTTAAAGAAAGGTTAAGTGCACAGAACACTACAGAAGGAAATGAAAGGTGGAAATGAAAGAAGACACGCAAATAAATGAAAACACATCCTATGTTTATGGATTGGGAGGCGATATTGTTAAGAGGTCAGGACTACCCAAAGTGGTCTATAGATTCAGTGCAATCCCTATCAAAATCCCAGTGGCATTTTTTTCCAAAAACAGAACAATTAGTCTATCCTAAAATTCATGTGGAATCTTAAGGGACCCTAAATAGGGAAAATAGTCTTGAAAAAAAGAAGAACAAAGTTGGAGGTCTCACATTTCCCAATTTTAAACTTACTATAAGGCCACAATAATCAAAACAGTGTAATACTACCATAAAATACAGACATATAGACCAATGGAATGGAATGGAGAGCCCAGAAATAAACTCTCAGAGATAAAGTCAAATGACGTTCCACAGTCATGCCAAGACTATTCAACTGGGAAAGGACCATCTTTTCAACAAATAGTGCTGGGAAAACTGGCTATCTACATGTAAAAGAATGAAATTGCACCCTTACGTTTATACCATATACAAAAATTTACATAGGTCAAAGACCTAAATATAAGAGCTAAAACCATAAAATATAAAACTCTTAGAAGAAAACATACGGGAAAAGCTTCATGACACTGAATTTGGCAGTGATTTCTTGAATACAACACCAAAAGCACAGGCAACAAAAGGCAAATTAGATAAATCAAAGACTTCTGTACATCAAAGGACACAGCAGAGTAAAAAGGCAACCCACAGAATGGAGGAAAATATTTGCAAGTCATGTATCTGATAAGGGGTTAATAACCAGAATATATAAACAATTCAACCACAATCAACCCAATTAAAAAATGGGCAAAGGAGTTGAATAGACATTTCTCCAAACAAGATAGACAAATGGCCTGAATGGACATTTCTCCAAACAAGTCAGACAAATGGCCTGAATAGACATTTCTCCAAAGATGATAGACAAGTGGCCGATAAGCAGATGAAAAGATATTCAACATCACTAATTATCCAAGAAATGCAAATCAAAACCACAATGAGATACCAGCTCACGCCCACTTAAGATGGCTGTCACAGAAAACAAAGACCAAAGATAACAAGTGTTGATGAGGATGTGGAGAAATTGAAACCCTGTGTACTGTGGGTGGGAAAGTAAAATGGGGTGGCTGCTGCAGAAAACAGTTTAGTGGCTCCTCAAAAAATTGACAGTAGGATGACCTGATGTCCAGCAGTTCCACTTCTGGGGATAACTGGAAAGAATTGAAAGCAGGGTCCTGAAGAGATATTCGTACACCTATTATATTGGTTTGCTAGGCTGCCATAGCAAAGCACTACAGATTAAGTGGGGTGGCTTAAACAACAGAAATATGTTTTCTCATGATTCTGGAGGCTAGAAGTCTAAGATCAAAATATCAGCAGGGTTGGTTTTTCTGGGGCCCCTCTCTTTGGGTTGGTAGCTGTCTTCTCCCTGTGTCTCTATGTGTGGTCTCTGTCTTGTAGGTGCCTGTGTCCTAATCTCTTCCTTGAAGGACACCAGTCATATTGGACTAGGGCCCACCTTAATGACCTCATTTTAAATTAATTGCCTGCTTAAAGACCCTATCTCCAAATACAGTCACATTCTGAGGTCCTGGGGGGCAGGACTTCAACATATAGATTTTTTTTGGTGGGAAGGGAGACACAATTCATACCATAACACTCATAGCAGCGTTATTCACAATAGTCAGAAGGTAGAAGCAACCCAAATGTCCATCAACTGATGAATGCGTAAGCGGAATGTGGTCTACTCATACAATGGAATATTATTCAGCCTTCAAAAGGAAGGGAACTGTGGCACACACTACCACCTGGAGGAGCCTTGAAGACATTATGCTAAGTGGAGTCAGACAGTCACAAATACTGCCTGATGCTACTTATATGAGGTACCTAGAGTGGTCAGATTCAAAGAGATAGGAGGGTGGTTGCCAAGCACTAGGGGGAGGGGGAGGGGGAGTTAGTGTTTGATGGGAACAGCGTTTTGGTTTGAGAAGATGGAAAGGTTCTAGAGATGACAGTGGTGACGGCTACACAGCAGTGTCAATGTGCTTCATGCCACCAAACCGCACACTTAAAATGGTTGAGATGGCAAATTTTATGTTATGTGTATTTTACCACAACTAAAAACTTTAAAATGAAAAAGAAAGGTTAGGGATGCAGCTGTGCCCGATTTGAGGATGACTGGGCAGGATTCTGCCTGGTGTGGAGGCAAGATTCAAGAGGAAGAAGGGGCAGGGCTGTTTCAGACACAGTAAGTGTGTGGTGAGCTACTTTCCCCAAATCTATTTTAGACTCTGTTTTGGCCACGATGTCATTAGACTCTGCTAATAGTTTTGCCTCAGCCGCCACCCCAGTGTCACCCTCCCCATCCCTGTCCCATCATCTTCCTAGGCAGACACATGTCCCTGGACCCATGTTCCGTGCTGTGGGGTAAAATCATGTCCATCAGCAGAATAGCCTGAGACGGGCTCTCCTCCCTCCACCCTTTCTGCCTGCCTTCCTGACTCCTTTAGTCCCAGCCATTTCTTCTTTCCTCCTTCCCTGGGGTGTTGGGAGGTCATGGCTGCTCCTGGAAGTTTGACTGCACGTTCTGGAAGCGGATGTGCATGGTGGTCAGGGGCTTTGGGGGCTGGGTGTAGCAAACACGTCCACATCCCTTCTTCATGGTGGATTTGAAGGATAAGGTCTCAGGAAGGGGGAGGTGACACCCACGTAGAGTTCCATGCAGCCCCTGGGCCCGAGGGCCACTGTCACTGACCACGTGCTCTCTGTCCACCCTAGGACCTGAGCTCCTTCGCCATGCCGCTCCTGGACGGAGACCTGGAGGGTTCCGGAAAGCATTCCTCTCGAAAGGTAAGACCTCCTTTCCAGAAGTTTCTCACAGCTCACTTGAGGTGCCACGGAGGCAGGCAGAGCCTGAGCCCACTTCCACCTGTGTGTTCACCCTCACGCCCACCCGCATGTCCGCTTGCACACCTGGCCGTAACCGAGCCCATCCTGCGACAGCTCACCTCGCATGGCCAAGCCTGGCGTATCGGCCGGGCTATCCCACTAGAGAGCCTCCTGGGCTTCACCCCTTTTTCTTCTCCTCACGTGGCACTGACTGTGGCCCACTAGACCCCCCTAACATGGGCAGAGGCAGTGGAGGAAGATGAGCAGTGAGCTAAGCCCGGTGGAAGGTATCGGTCACTGCCGACCATCTGTGGTCTTTGGGCTGAGTTCGACTGGCAGGACTTTGCCCTGCTGCCCACCAGCGCCCACCCCCAGCGCTGGGCTCTCTCCTTCCACCTCGTGTTGCACCCTCTCCACACGCCTTTTTCTCTCTTTCCACTTTTCCTTTCCTCTCTTTAGCTCCTCGCCGTCCCTCCTGCACTGGTGAATTTCCCTCCCATTAGGAAACTAGTGTCTCGAGGAGGTTGTTGACTGTGTAGGGTCAGGTGGCCAGAAAGAGTGTGGGGTGGGGTGGGGGGCTCTGGAGAGGGAGCCACAGCATCAGGTGAGGGTCGAGGTGGCCGTGGCAGGGCGCAGAGGTCCAGGCTGCTTGCAGGTTTCTCCTGCAGCCAGGAAGTAAGGGTGGGTGGAGGCCTGGTAGGGGACGTGCTTCCTGGCATTCTGCCACCCACAGACCCCTCCGGCAGGTGACAGCAGACAGAGCTAGTGATCTGGGGGCTACGTACAGGGTCTGGGATGGGTTCTGGGTGCCGGCTAGCCTGGGATGAAGGCAGGAGTTCCCATGCTGGAAAAAGCAAATCTCCTCTTTAAGCATTTGAATTACACACAACTGAATCAAATTGGTGTCGGCCTGTGGGGCTCCACTGGTGCCAGTGCCCTCCCCACCCTGCCCTGAACAAGCAACCTTATTAGCAGCTCTCGTGGCCCATCCAGCAAAGACTGCCAGGGAATGGCCTTGAGCTTCTGGGCCAGCAGAGAGTGGAGTGGCAGGAAGGGGCCACCAACCCCGTGCAAGGCTGTGGGACCAGCCCCGCGGGCACTGGGTCGTCTTCCTCCTGTTTGACTCTGCAAAACCCTTCTTTCCAGTGAAAACCTTGCACGGAAGATCTGAGAGTGTGGGAGAGACACAGGGGCCACAGCCAGGCCCTGGCCCCAGCTTCCTCTCTGGCAGCTGCATGACAAATGGCCCCATAGGCAGAGCTCTGCTCCGCAGACGGCTGAATGCCTGCTCTCCATTAGCTCTGCGGAGCCAGGCACACACTTGGGAGTCTTGTCAATACCCGGGGAATCATCCGGTTGCATTCACCAACATATCATTTGGCTATAGCTTGCCCAAGAGCAAGGCCTGAGGCCCTGTCCCTGGTGGCTTCAGCTGGCGCCTGTTATCTGCACCGCCACGCAGCCCACCCCAGCAGGCCTGTCCCTCCGCCTGGCTTTCCCACCGTCTGGGAGTGTGATCTGGCCCCCAAGGTTCCCGGTGAGAGGGGTCAGACAGGGCCCAGCATCCAGCATGCTTCGGCCATTTTCCAGAGACAGGACTGGCAGGGCTGCTTCCTAGGGCTCCCTCCTCAGGCCTGATCCCTGGATGCCCGACTCCACTGGCCTGGATTCAGAATACAGAATGGAACCCCATTCAGGATAATCCTGGGGTCCCCCTTGCTCATCAAATATGGTTAAACTGGCCTTTCATGACTGGTTCTCCAGGGGCTCATGGCTCAACTTCCCCCGTGACCCCCACCCTCATGGTGGCCCAAGTGAATGGCCGGCCCTCTGTCTCTGTGCTTCAAACCCCTTCTCCTCTGTCTCTGGGCACTGGACACCTCCCCGGCCCTGTCACTGCGTCTCTGAAGCCTAGCCAGCTGTCAGGGCCTCCTCTGGGTCAGGGCCTCTGTTAAGGGGCAGGTTTCAGCTCCGGGCCATTTATCCATCTGCATGGTGCTTATGGTGCTTCGGCCTTGTGGGCACTCTGCAAGCTCTCCTGGGGCCCCGCTCCCCTATGTGTCTCTGTTTCCCTGTAGGACTGGACATTTGCATTGGCTCGGCCCTCTCCCCCGGCTCCCCAGCAAGCTCCCTATGCTGTAAACAGAGCACGTCCATGCACCAGGTCCGGGCTCACCTTTCCAGCAGCTCCAAAATCCCACCCCTCCCTCCGGTCCTCCCATGTGGCCTCGGCTCCTCTTCCGGTTCACACCCTCGAGGCTGCTGTCGTGATTGTCTCAGCCCTGGGAACGAGGCTTGGACAACCAAGTCGTTGTCCACATTGCGGGAAACTGAGCTGTGACCAAACCCGGGCCTCCACCCAGGACCAGCTTATGTCACCTTGTGATAGGACCACCCTGGTGCCTGTGTGTGTTGTTCCTACTGGCTTCTCTCAGCCCCCATCCCACCCTAGACCTGCACACACAGCACCCACCACTTGAAGAAGAACCTCTTTTTTTTTTTTTTTTTTTTTTTTTTTGAGACAGGGTCTTGCTCTGTACCCAAGCTGGCTGGAGTACAGTAGTGTCACCTTGCTCACTGCAACCTCCACCTCCATCTCTGGGGCTCAAGTGATCCTCCCACCTCAGCTGCTTGAGTAGCTGGGACTACAGGCCACCACACCTGGCTAATTTCTGTATTTTTTGTAGAGACAGGGTTTTGCCATGTTGCCCAGGCTGGTCGAGCTCAGGTGATCCACCCACCTCGGCCTCCCAAAGTGCTGGGATTACAGGTGTGAGACACCACCCCCTGCCTGAAGACTCTCTTGTTTGTAAATTTATTCTCAGGATTTGTCCTGATTCCCATAGTTAGGTGGAATAGTGGCTAACTGGGATATTCTATAAACAGAGAATCTAAATGCTTTTCATATTAAATGGTCAAAAAAAAAAAATCAGCTGGGCATGGACAACTGTAATCCCAGCTACTCAGGAGGCTGAGGTAGGAGGATTGCTTGAGCCCGGGAGGTGGAGGTTGCAATGAGCTGAGATTGCGCCAGTGCACTGCAGCCTTGAGCGACAGAGGGAGACCCTGTCTCAAAAACAAAAAACAGAACTACACAAAAAAAGAAAAACTCAAAACTTAGCTTGAGTTACAAGGTCCTATAGCACCACACTCTTCTTCCTGCCGGGCCCACTCACGAAGGTGTCCGCGCCAGGCCGGACCTACACCTCCACGTGGCGGCGCCGGCTCTTTCGGCTGGAGAGGCCGCGCGGGGAGGCTGTGCTGCGCGGGTCCACGCCACGGGCATCCTATCCTCCCGGGGCCGCGGGCTCGGGGCTTGGGCCGCCCTCTAGTGGCGGAAGAACGTCCCCAGGCCGCGGTCCGGACAGCGCACCCCGTGGTGGGACAGAGAGACCCCGAAGTGGCACCGAGGCTGCCTGTGGGGTGTCCTGTGTTCCCTTTTCAGCACAGCGCGGCCGCCCGAGGGCAGTATTTCCCGCGTCTGCCCTGGTCCTGGCTCCCCGCGAGCGCTGCGGACGAGTTACTCGCCCTTCTTGCTTCTGAACTGGGTCATCTCTGAGGTCCTTTCCACTCAGTGTTGCTTGCAAGTTTCCCAAGTGGTAGGACAAGAGCTGTTTACCACGCACCGTGTGCTTCCTGGCCTCACGCGGCTTCATCTGACGTTCAAGCAGCCCTTGAGGTGAGGGCACGGCCATCCTCATTTTACAGATGAGGGAGCTGAGGCTCGGTGAGACCAAGTAACATGCCCAGGTTGGCTCAGCAGGTGGCAGAGCAGGGGCCAAATACCGGCACCCAGAGGCAGGGCAGGAGCTCCTCCACGCATCCAGCAGGAACACGGCTGCGGGCACGTGAGATATTTCTCAAAGTCTGCTATGAGCTCTGTGCCTTGGCTTAAAGTTATGGGGTCTGATAATTTTTTAAGCCATGACTAGAATTTTAAATCATTGGTGAAGTGAGTCTCAGAGGTTTGGGGCTTTGTTAACTTCCTTCTTTCCTTCTTTCTTTCCTTCCTTCCTTCCTTCCTTCCTTCCTTCCTTCCTTCCTTCCTTCTTTCCTTCCCTCCCTCCCTCCCTCCCTCCCTCCCTCCCTCCTTCCTTCCTTCCTTCCTTCCTTCCTTCCTTCCTTCCTTCCTTTCTTTCCTTTCTCTTGAAATGGAGTCTCGTTTTGTTGCCCAGGCTGGAGTGCAATGGCGCCATCTCGGCTCACTGCAACCTCCGCCTTCGGGGTTCAAGAGATTCTCCTGCCTCAGCCTCCTGAGTAGCTGGGATTACAGGCGCCCGCCACCATGCCCAGCTAATTTTTTTTTTATTTTTTTATTTTTAGTAGAGATGGGGTTTCACCATGTTGGCCAGGCTGGTTTCAAACTCCTGACCTCAGTTGATCCACCCGCCTCGGCCTTCCAAAATGCTGGGATTACAGGCGTGAGTCACCGTACCCGGCTGGCTTTGTGAACTTTTCTCCTGACTTCTGTTGGCAACCTCAGTCTTTCAAATGCTGAAGCAGCTTGGAGGTGAAAAATTCATCATCACCTAGGACTGAGGTCTCAGGATGGAGCTCCAGGCCCGCTCTGTTCTGGAACATAGGGATCTTATAGGCAGGCAAGAGGACTGCAGTCCTGTGTGGTCAGAACTTGGATGGACGTGAGGTCTTGAGAGGTGAAGGCAGGCAGGCCCATAATAAAGGAGGGAGACGCTCATTTTGAGCTCCGCTTCCCTTCCTCCCCTCTACCTCCTGGAAGCCCCTTCTAAGGAGTGGGACAGGATGGTCAGTGGACCTCCAGGACGTGGTGCTGCCAGCCTGTGAGGGGCCATCCTTGGGGCAGGTGCTACCTGCAGACCATTCAGTGGCTACCTCTGTGGAAGAGCTTAGGGCTGTTTCTCTGGGAGGGTACTATGGGGGGCCCGCATGTGAGAGAGGACAATGATAAGTTTCATACAGGGCAGGAGGCAGCGTGTCCAGAGCGTGGAGTGACTGCATCCATTCGTCTGTTTTTCTGCAGGTGGACAGCCCCTTCGGCCCGGGCAGCCCCTCCAAAGGGTTCTTCTCCAGAGGCCCCCAGCCCCGGCCCTCCAGCCCCATGTCTGCACCTGTGAGGCCCAAGACCAGCCCCGGCTCTCCCAAAACCGTGTTCCCGTTCTCCTACCAGGAGTCCCCGCCACGCTCCCCTCGACGCATGAGCTTCAGTGGGATCTTCCGCTCCTCCTCCAAAGAGTCTTCCCCCAACTCCAACCCTGCTACCTCGCCCGGGGGCATCAGGTTTTTCTCCCGCTCCAGAAAAAGTAAGACCTTGATGCTATTGTTTCAGGTGGGTGCTGGGGTGCTGGGGGTCTCTTCTGCAGCCACACATCCACGGTGGCACCGAAGCTGCCAGGTGGCTGTGAGCAGCTTGGTGCTGAGTGCCTGTATCTGTTTCTCCCCACCCCCACTTCCCCCTAAACAAATCTCTCTCCAGAACATCAGTTTCCACCTGTCACTTTCTTCCCATGCTAATCTATCAAAGCGTAATCCTTCTGGTCCAGCAAGGTCCTTGGGTTAACTGTAAACATCCTGATACTCACAGTACAGCTTGTATGGACAATCAGATGACACACTTGCCTCCAGCCTTCTCTGGAAACTGCAGGCATGGAGCCAAGCTTAGGCCCTCACCCGGGGCCACGGGACCATACTGCTTTGGTCAGCCTGATATGGCTTCCACTCTCTGTGGTTTGGTATTTGAGGGTTTGACTACACCTGTTTCTGGCAAATCCTAACTTTTTCTGTTTGGGGCTCTGGGCAGCAGGGAATGGAAGCTAGGAGGGATTTGCTGGGGAAATGGAAGGAGGAAATGTGAGTGTTTAAGAAAGAGTTCCGTAGGTTCATTAGTGTTTGTGATCTGAGGATAAGGTATTTTCATTTGAGCGCCGTCGATGATAATATGAAATATACCACGAACTAGAAAGTTTATGGCGTTTACTTTCTCCTTTCCTTTGTCTATTCTTTCCAGTTCTTTCTACTGACTTAGAACATTTGTATTGGGGAAGATAGTGATGTGGAAAACAAATTTGTCCTTGACCATCAGAGGCCTGGGATAGTTCACCTTTCTCTCCAGGCTGACTTTTACTCAGAAAGACTGGCAATACTGTGTGTTAGAGCAACGCTTTATATCTGCAAGGCCAGGCGGCAGCAAGAGGGGAATTTCGGTGTTTCTGACTTCGAACTCTTCCATCAGGCAGCAGTGGCTGTAGGACGAGAAGCCAGGTCTCTGTCAGCCTCACTACTTCATCCACCACCTTGGAGGTGGAGGGGATGGTGGCCGTATTCTGTGTGAGTGGAGCAGATCTATCTCTTGGACAGATTTTGCACTTCGTCTTTCTACATAAAACAAATGAAGGTGCTCCCGCCTGTGGGTTGTGTGTGTGTTGTGGGGGGCAGGTCCTGACCATGCTCTACACACACCCCTCACTCAAGGCTGTGGGGTTGTCACAATTTCCTTTAAGTTTGTGCACTTTAGCCTTAAGGTGCCCCTTTCTTTCCCCATCTCCTTGTATAAACATCGTCTAGAGATGAGGGATCAAAGTGCTGTACAGAGGAAGGAAATCAGGCCCGTCCTGATGGGAAAGCTGCGTGAGGGCTCCACGTCACACAGGTGGGATTTGTCAAAGAGAAGGAGGATGTGTGCGCAGTTTGCCTTGTTGGGGAACTTGCGATGTTGTGTAGATTGAATGTGCTGGAATTGGTGGATGAAAAGACAGGATTCCTGCCTTCAAGGGCTCCTAGTCAGAGGCAAGCAGGCTTCAGAAGAAAGGACGAGATTGTCTCCATGGTACTGCCTGTGCTCAGTTAGGACAGGGCAGGCTTTCTGAGCGGGGCGGAGAGCAGCACAGGGAACCTGATGATCGGAAGGGTGCCCAAAGGAGTGTAGGAGCTGTGAGCTGGCTCCCATGGGAAGGTCTTGAAGCTCTGGCAGGAACCATCACCCTCCGCCTCCCTCTACATCATTCTCCTGCACAGAGCCCTCCATGGGGGTGGGAGGAGAGGGTGAGAGGGAGGAGCGGGGAGAGGAGGAGGAGGGTCCCTGCAGGCAGAGGGTCCCTTTGGGAGCCCAGCAGTGGCACCAGGAGGTGCAGGAGAAGTTGTTCAGTCCTCAGGGCCTAGGCTGCAGCTCAGTACAGCATTTGGTGGGAGGTTTGGTGCTGTCCACTGTTCAGCCTGGGAAATGAGCTGTTCTTTTAGAAACTGGGTCTGGAAAAATCTCTTTTTGAAACCATATCAATTTCTTAAAGTATTCCTCCTTTTCACTATCTTTCATTGTTATTTATGTTTAGATTTTCAATCTCTTTCAACTGTTTTCTTTCAGTAACTGACAGAATTGCAGACAGACAGATAATCAAAGCTAGAAGGGACTGTAAGGAAAGCATTTATGGGGGAAGAAAGCATATGCATATAATAATTTGAACACAGCATATATGGGTGTGTGTGTGTGTGTTTTGGATTTGTATAGATGTATGTGTGTATGTATGTGCATATATGTATGTGTGTACACACATATATACCTTTTTTATTTTTTAAAAGGACATGCATTGGACTGCTAGTGGTAGCTTCTAAGTGAAGAATTAGGAGTGGATGGGTGGAAGGAAAATGTTGCTTTATCTGATATTCCAATTTTTTGAGACTAGCTTCACTTATTGGTAATTAAAAATGAATACATCTTGAAAAAAATGTCAAGCTCCCAGACCTGAGCTTTGGGGCGGTGGCGAGATGTGGAACAGAAGTTGCGGGTGTTGGTAACAGCAGAAGAAAGAGTTGAGCCACCAGGAATGCCTGGGGACAGCCAAGGCCCCGTGCTCAGCCTTAAGGGCTAGCTGGGGAATGCTGGGATGTAGCAGGGCTTGGAGAAGGCATGGGGAGAACCTACAGATGGCTGAGTGTGGAGGTCCAGGATGGGAGGCGGTGTTGCTCCATTTTGCATTGCTATAAAGGAGTACCTGAGGCTGGGTCATTTATAAAGGGAAGAGGTTTATTTGGCTCATGGTTCTGCAGGCTGCACAGAGGCATGGTGCCAGCATCTGCTTCTGGGGAGGGCACAGCCATCCAGTGGGAGCCTCATGCCCACTGCACAGATAAAACCAATTCACCGAGATCTTGGTATTGTAGTAAAATGTTTAATGTGAGGCCAGCCACATGGGAGATGGAGCTATCACTCAAATCAGTCTCCCCAAAGGCTCAGAGCTTAGGGTTTTTATGGACAATTTGATGGGCAGGGGGCTAGGGAACGGGCACTGCTGATTGGTTGGGGATGAGATCACAGTGGTGTGGAAACGGGCCTCCAGCACTGAGTCGGCCTCTAGGTGAGGGCCACAGGGTCAGCTGAGTCATGAGTCATGGGTCTGGGTGGGGTCCATTGGTTGCCAGAATTCAAGTCTAAAAAATTATCTCAAAAGACCAATCTTAGGTGTTAAATAGTGATACTATCTACAGGAGCAACTGGGGAAGTTGCAAGTCTTGTGACCTCTGGCTCCATGACCCCAGAGCAGTACGAGATCATAGAAACTACACCTGCATGTTAGCCCGGTTCAGGCCCCTCCCATAATCCTAATCTGTGGTCTTTCATTCATCTCACAAAGCTGGTTTTCAGTCCCTGAGCAAGGAACAGTTGGTTTCAGGGAGGTACTATTATCATCCTTGCTTTCAAATTAAACTATAAACTAAATTCCTCCCTTTGTTAGCTTGGCCTCCGCCCAGGTAATGAGCAAAGCCAGCCAGCCTGTGAGGCTGGATGCAGGATGGAGTGGGCCAGGCTGGACCTTCTCCTGCTGTCGTGATCTCTGCCAAGGTGTTTGCAAGGGCTTCAGGCTGCTTCCACTCATGGAGGAAGGCGAAGGAAAGCCGGGGTATGCAGAGCTCACACGCAAGGGAGCAAGAGAGAGGGGGGAGGTACTGGAGTCTTTAAAGCACCCAGCTAAGAGAGCAGGACTCACTGCCGCAGGGAGGCAACCCAGCCATTCATGAGGCATCTGCCCCCAGGACCCAAACACCTCCCACGGGGCCCCACCTCCAACACCGGGGATCCAATTTCAACCTGAGAGCGGGGAAGAAACACTCAACCTCTATCAGAGGTGGATCCAAGACTCCCAGCCCCTCTGGATCTCAGCGGGTCCCAGCAGACACTGTGCTCACAGTGAGGGAACGCAGGCACAGGCCTGGGGATGACTCTGCTGGTGTCCACATGGGGTGCTGCCGCAGTGAAGAGCTAGACCTCGGGGCCCATGCTGAACCTGGCCATGGCCCCTTCCATTGGGGCCTGTGGTCTGCACAGGAGGAAGCTCCCAGACTCCCCTCCACCCTTTCCTTAAAGCCAGGGGCCGAGACAGGCAGGTGGAGTCAGAGAGTGAGTCCCCCAACCCATCTCCTGTACTGCAGGAGCTCCAGCTGCGGGCTGAGGAATGTGGGGGCTGTACCTTCGGGAGGCCTCACCCCGGCAGTGTCCAGCACCCAAGGGGTCCTGGGGATGAGGCTGGGGCTCAGAAGCAGAGACTGTGAGGCCCCTGATCATCCTCTGCAATGTACCTGAAGGCCTCATTGCTGGGTAGGGGCCCACAGTCCACTCATAGCTCCACACCCCTGTGCCCCTAATCCACACACTGGGGTATATGAGCCCCTCAGCTACCTCTCATTCCAGAAACTTAAAACTGCTGCTTCCTCACCTAGGGTGCCTGCACTGCCCCGGCTGGGCCTGCCATCTGCGCCTTCCTCCAGGCCTGAGTGTGGTCTGTGAGCTCAGTGAGCCTGTGAATTGCTTTTTTCCTATGGCAGAAGTGCAGACAGCTGCGAAGGGAGCGGGACCTGGGGCTGCCTGCTGGGGCCCGTGTGTACCCGGGGCCTGGGCCCTCCCTTGGGACACAGGGAGTCAGGCACTGCAGCTCTTTATTGTTGGTGGACATGGTGGGACGTTGGCCACTGAAGACAGGCCTGACTCCTGGCTCCTTTCGGCTGCCTTTTTCTGTTGAGTATTTCCAAGGCCCTTCAATGTCCTTGGTAGAAAATCCCCAGGTTCACTCTTCTGGCTTGTCAGGTACTATGGAGAAGGCAGAGCCTGTTACAGCCCGGTTACACCATCGGGGTAGACAGCCAGGGGCCGGGCTCAGGAAGGCTATGACATGGCTCTCAGCTACTCACAAGGGCAAGGATTGATTAGGTTGGGGTGGGGGCATGGCTTCTTCAGAGAAGCCCCCTGGGATGGGGAGTTCAGAACAGAGCAAGCCTGGTCCCCAGGGCAATTGCTCATGTTGGTGCCCTTGAGAATCAGTGAGGCCAGCTCCTTGGCTTTCCCTGAAAGAAGCCATCCCTCCCCGAGCCCTATGGCTGATAAGGCACGAAGCTCCAGGTCTCTGTGCTGTGGTGTTACTTGACTGGGAGGTCACCCTGAGCTCCTTCCAGATGGCCGTTCATTTGTGCCTGGCATGAGGCTGGCCTGGAGGAGGCAAAATCTGTCTGCTTTTCTCCGTACTTGAAATCTATTCCTGGATCAGGGTTCCCAGACTGTAGATTGCTCCCCCACTGCCCTAGAACTAACTTCATGAAATTGAGCCTGTGAGTAATGCCATCGGCCCATCTGGAGGGTCTTGGGAAGAAACAGCCCCGTGAAAGCCACTGTGTCCACTGGAGGGATGTCATGAAGACTTCGTTCATTACACAAGGCCCCTGGGAGGAACTTGCTGTCTGGTCTTGGTACCAAGAATAGCTGAACTTCTGATCAACGGGACTGCTTTTGTCTCTAGCAGACATTAATCGTGTAATAGCGCATTTCCTCTGTCTGCACTGGCTGCTAGAAGCCTTTGAACCAAATCTGGACAAAAGGCATTAAGGGATACATTTCCAGCCTTTCTGAATCCAGTTTTCGTCCCTCTTCTTTTATATTCACACGACCACTTTTTTAACAAGCAAACAATGTGTTGGAAGGATTTGGGGGCATTTACGGAATTCCAAAAAGAGCTGAACCCTCAGGACTCAGGAAGGGAAGGAACCAGACTGGCCCTGAGGCCTCAGCAGCAAGAATTCGTGGATCTTTCCAAGAGATCCAGAGAAGTCCTAGTCTGTGTCTCTCTCCATTTACTGTCCTAAATGCCTTGTCGCAGGATATCTGATTAGCCCAGTTAGGATCCCTGAATCAATCAGGGCGGGGTGGGGGGTAGGATCACGCAGGAGAAACAGAATGACCAAGAACCAGGAGGTAGGGCGGGAAGTTCCAGGATAAGAGGTCCAGTTGGCAATCCAAAGGGGACTGTGGCATCCCACCCTCCTTGGCCAGCATGTGTGCATGCACGCAAGGATGCCCTCATCACACGTGGCCCAACGAGCCTACATACAATTGTGTAAGCTGCTTCCCCCATGGAGGGCGATGCAGCCTCACATCCAGCCTTGACATTAAGGAGGATGTGGCTATGATCCCCTGTTTTCTGAGTCTTCTGTCTCAAGGTAATGCCCACTTCTCCTCATGTTCTATTTGCATCTCATCTTTCTGTCCTATAATTTATGGCCTACATGACAAACATAGAATCTAAAGTGTTGACAGGCTCCTCAGGTAATACTGATATACACCAGAGCTTGATAAGCACTGTTTTCTTTCTTTTTCTTTTTTGTTTTTTTGAAATGGAGTCTCACTCTGTCACCAGGCTGGAGTGCAATGGCGAGATCTCGGCTCACTGCAACCTCCACCTCCTGGGTTCAAGCGATTCTCATGCCTCAGCCTCCTGTGTAGCTGGGATTACAGGCGCCCGCCACCACACCTGGCTAATTTTTGTATTTTTAGTAGAGACAGGGTTTCGCCATGTTGGCCAGGCTGGTCTCAAACTCCTCACATCAAGTGATCCATCTGCCTCAGCCTCCCAAAGTGCTGGGATTACAGGTGTGAGCCACTGTGCCTGGCCGATAAACACTGTTTTATATTATTAAGGGGAAAGAAAGCAGGAAGATGAAAATTATGATCACTGTCATTTCAGAGGGAGAAATGAAAAAGGAAAAAGAGGTAATTCAATCTTCTAAGACACTCTAAGACAGGAGGGGGAACACAGATGGGGACCATGGTTCTGGATTCCACAGCTGATCTTGGGACCAGCAAGTACCTAGGCTGGCTGGTGTTTTTTGCCCAGGGAAGAGAACCAGACCTTTCTTCTGGAAGGATCTTACCTCTCAGAGGCTGCCTGTATGGAGTTGCCGTAGTCTTTCACTAACATTTGCCTCTGGTCAGAGGTACAGTAGCGTGAGGATTCGTAGTGTGGCTGGCGTTCTCATCATACTCCTAGCCACCATGGAATATCAAACCTACTTCCCTTTGATGATCAGAGTCAAACACCCCAACCAAAACAATGCCCCACTTTTCCGTCTCTCCCTCTAATGCAGCAGTCAGCAAATGACAAAATCAGCCCCGGGACAAAATCTGGCGTGCCACCTCTTTTTGTAAACAAAGCTGTCATGGAGACACAGTCACGCCCATCTGTGTGTTCCTCTCCTGCCGCTTCCACACTTCAACAGCAGAACTGAGCAGGTGCAACAGAGACCCCATGGCCTACAAAGCCTGAAATGTTTACCTGGCTGACCTTGTGCCACAAGAATTATTACGTGGCTGAGTGGCTGCAGGAGCTTCCAGAACAGTGAATCTTTAGCTTCAAAAGATTTTGCAAGTTGGTTTAGGGTGATCTTGCCTTTGGAGATGAGGAAAGGAAAGTGCATGTCTGTGTGTTCATGAACTGCCAATAATAAGATTAAAGTCTTTTAAAAAAGCAAAAAGAATCTTACACAGTCAGCAAGGCAGGACCTCCAGAATGATCTAATGTCGTGTTGCTAAATTTTGCTCCTTATAAAAGTCTGTGTGTGTTCTAAGTGCATTGTATGTAATTCTTTCAATCTTCATAGCAACTCTTCTATTTGTACAATGTTTACCAAACTAGAAACTGAGGCACGAGGGCTTAAGTTGTGGAACAAAGGCCACACAGCTACCAAGTGGTAAAGCCAAAATGTGAAGTCAGGTGGTTGAACTCCGAAGTCCACTTTTAGTCCAGGTGCTGAGACTCTGCTTTAATGGAATAGATCTTAGGGATCTATAAACCAATAATGGGATAGCCAGCTAGCCATTTACGAAAAAATAGATAAAAGTGGCTCCTTGGTCATTTCTCTCTCTTTCTTTCTCTTTCTTTCTTTCTTTCCTTCTTTCTTTCCTTTCCTTTCTTTCCTTCCTTTCTTTCCTTTCTTTCTTTCCTTCTTTCTTTCCTTCCTTCCTTCCTTCCTTGCTTCCCTTCCTTCCTTCCTTTCTTCCCTTCTTTCCTTCCTTTCCTTCCTTCCCTTCCCTTCCCTTCCCTTCCCTCCCTCCCTCCCTCCCTCCCTCCCTCCCTCCCTCCCTCCCTCTCTCTCTCTCTCTCTCTCTCTCTCTCTTTCTTTCTTTCTTTCTTTCTTTCTTTCTTTCTTTCTTTCATTCATTTAGAGACAGGGTCTCTGTCATCCAGGCCAGAGTACAGTGGCAGAATCACTGCAGAGCCTCAACTTCCCAGGCTCAAGCGATCCTCCTGCCCTTTGCCCGCAATAGGTGGAACTGCAGATGCACACCACCATGCCTGGTTAATTTTTTAACTTTTTGTAGAAATTGGGTCTCAGTGTATTGCCCAGGCTAGTCTCAAGCTCCTGTACTCAAGCGATCCTCCCACCTCAGCCTCCCAAAGTGCTGGGATTTAGGTGTGAACCACCACACCTGGCTCTTGGTCACACCAAAATAATTTCCGTGTGGAACTAAACTTTAAGTGTTTTAAGTAATGTACCTCCAAAACATTTGAATATCTAAATCTTGGGATGTCAGGCCTTTCTAGAAGGTGCAAAAAATATGTTTGTTTGTGATATAAATATCCACAGCCTTTCTTGCCTTCTCTCAAAGTTTGCAGGCTTGATTCTCAGAGCTTTGCTATATTGATGAGGTAGAGGAGAGCTGGATGCATTCCTGTTAGAAAGAATGAAGAATGTCTAAGAGAGAAATGCATAACGGGGGTCCAGGTGAGTGAAGGGAAGATTCTAGAAGGTGAGTTTTGGTTGGAGAAGATTTTGGAGAGTTTGGGAGCGTCATACCAGAGATTGAAGCCCAGTTCTTGTGCTGTGTAGGATGGTGGGAGAGGGATAGAAGAGATGACCCCCTGAAAGGGGCATTATGTGTGTTGGGAATATAAGCACACCGCTGGCTCCCAGGCAGCCTCTCCAGACACCTCTTCAGATTTCCTGAAAGGACTCACCTTAGTAGAAAGGCCTTCCTTTGACACCCTGGGTAAAGTAGTAGCAATCTCCTTGCAGGCATCTACACTACTGATTCCCCACAGGATATACTGTCTATTTACTGGTTCACTTGCCTGTCTCTCCCCACCAGAGTGTAAACTGTCTGAGGACAGGAATTCTGTTTTATTCAAAGCTTTCTCAGGGTCTAGAATGGCGCCTGAAGGCACTGAGCAAATTGTTTGAAATTAATTCACCAACAACTTAACTTGTTTTTCAATGCTTTCTAAAATGTGGGCTGATGCTTCTGAATACAAGATGATGGCTATACTGACCCAGGGATTTCAGTGGGTCATATGTAAGCCCGACCGGGTCCAGAAACTGTGAAGGGACAGAGGCAATTATCATTGATGACATCAAGATGACCACTTCCATACAGCTTCCCACTCCAAATAGAAAATGAAACAAAACAACAATATAAACGTGAAAAACACGTGCTAGACCAGAAGGAGATGATGAATTGATGGAGGACTAATATCCCTAATGTACAAAGATATTTACAAACCAGTGAAGCGAATGACTCAATGGCCTGAGTCTTGGAATCGAAAGTTTTAACAGGCTCCTCAGGTGATATTGATATATACCCCAGAGCCTGAGACTTCTAGGAAAGATGGCATTGTGTGTACTGCATGCATACAAAATGATTCCTCCCACAGTTGTTCAGATACAGCAAAAGGACACGGAGCTCTCTGGCTTTGGAACAGAGTGCAGGAGGAAAGGAGGAAGTGGAATAATCCCTAAGCACCCACCTCCCATTCCACCACCAGCCTCACTCCAATTTAATGGTGCTGAGTTTGGGACGTGGGGATTTTGAAAGCATCAGCAGACTTGGAAAGACAAGAAACGTGGTGCTGATAGAAGTGATATAATGTTTTATTTTAAAATGCCAAAAATGTAAAGCGGAAATCGAAATTTTAGCTAAGGGAAAAGCATAAAGAATAACATAGCTGGAATGAAGATAGGGTAAAAATCATGCATGTAATGAGATTACTTTCTATGTTCTTACAGTAGTAGAAATCAGGCAGATCTTAGAGCCTGAAGTAAGGAACAGAGGAGGGCTGGTTATTTTTGTAAGCAACCTATACATTGTGGGCAGATAATTTGATCATGCTTTGGCATAATTTCTGCAATGGTAAATGTGTGAGGTCATAAGCCCACAGTGCTGCTTGAATCTTAGGGAGCCTGTGGTTGCACTGGAAAATGGTCAACACAAGACCCAACCGTGGCTGGAACCCCTACTTCTCAGCCTCTGCAACGCTTAATGCTAAAGTCGGGGATGGGGCGTGGGGCATGGTGGTTTGTTCACTGGGTTCTCCAGGAGGGAGGCCACTTTCTATCTCACCCCCCTACAGCTCCAGGTCGAACTCCTAAAACCCAAGAGACAGGGCTGCTCTGAGACTGGTTGATGTGTTTTCAATACATGTGCTATTTGTAGGTCACTCCATAAGAATCAAGCTCCCCAGAAAACCTGCGAGACCTCAGAGCCCTCACTCCTCCCAGCACACCTTGCTCAGTGACCAGCAAAGTGTCAGTTGAAGAATGATAAGGTTCCTACATTTGGAAAGGATCACTTCTTTAAAAAGGCTGCAGCCAGCAGGTCACCATTCTGACAGGCTGGGAAGCATAGTCTCTAGCCAGATGCTGGAAACAGGCACTGCGAGAGTGGAAGACAGGGATTTATGCTGAACAGCGTGGCCAAATGTACATATTCAACAGGTTATAGGAGGAGCTATGAATATTCACAAAGAGGAAGCATAGACATGCATAATTGGCTAATTGTGTGCAGCATGCATCCATGTTCACGCTGGGGTGGAGACTTAACCTTTAAATGGATTACAGTAGGCCCTATATGTCAGAGGGTGAAGCCAAGGATGCGAAGACTGTCTGTGTGCAGCCTCCATAGGCTAGTCAGAGCCACTCCATGGTCAGGGGTCTCTTATCAGGAAGGAATGCTGGTCGGTTGTGTCGAACCTGCAAAAGGAAGGGGCAGCATCAGACAGCTGGTTGATCTCAGGAATGGAGCAAGTCTTTCAAAAGGGCAGGTTTCCATTTAACCCTTGGGGAAGGAAGCCTAATGGTGGTTAGCAAGGGAGGGGGTGTAATGAGGCACATCCGACCTCTCATCCCATTATGGCCGGGAACTCAGTTTTAAGGTTTTTCTGGGGTCCCCGTGGCCAAGAGGGGGTTCTTTCAGTTGGTTAGGGGCTTAGAATTTTAGCTTTATTTCTCAAAAGGTACTGAATTTGGCCTCCGTGGTCCCTAGCAGTGGACACACGCACTCTGGGGCCAGCAGGTTAGGTGCCCACTCTATGGGGTGGGGGTGCACCCTCGGCCATGTCAGCCCAGCACCCCAGCCCCGCAAGCAGTGCCACCTGCCCACCTCGTGTTTCCGCCACACCTCCCCAGATGCGGCTGCAGCATCCGTGCCTTCATGGCCCACAGGTTAGTTTCAGGGGCTGTCACACAGGCACCACAGGCTGCATGGCCTAAGCTGCCCGGATTCCTGTTCCCACAATTCTGGAGGCTGGAAGTTGGAATCAGGGTGTCAGCAGGACCATGCTCCCTCTGAAGGCTCTGGGAGGGCTCTGTTCCAGGCCTCCCTCCTAGCTTCTGGCAGTTGCCCACAAACCCTGGGGTTCCTTGGCTCGTAGATGCGTAACTTCAGCCTCTGCCTTCATCATCCTGTGGCCTTCCTCTGTGTGTGTCTGTCTCTTTTTCTTTTCTTAAAGTGACAGCAGTCAAAGGAGATTAAGAGCCCACCCTACTCCACTGCGACCTCAACTTAAGTGACTACATCTGCAATGACTCTGTTGCCAAATAAGGTCACCTTCTGAGGTTCTGGAAAGGAAATGAATTAGTGGGGGCACTGTCTAACCCAGCGCAGTCTACAACCACAGCATCAACTGCATTCAAAGTTCCTGGGCCATTTTCTTTGATGTTTACTTTCACTTGTCTTCTCTTCTTTGCTTGACTGAGGTTTGTTCACAGCCTTTCTGCCTGGGTTAGTTTCTTCTTGTGACTCTTAAATGCAGTAAAACACTGTAGAAAGCTGCCTGCCCAGCACAGCTGACACAGCCCTTTGGTAAAACCAGATAGCATCATTGCTCCCTGCACTGGGGGGACACCCTCCATGGAGCTTTGGAGCATCTCAGGGGGACAGGAAGGCCACAGTGCATTAGAACTCCAAGTCTGTTGAGGTCTTGCAAGTGGGGATTGGATTAGGAGTGGGTAAGAATCATGACACAGTGGCCCAGGATGGGAAGAAAGAGCAAGGCTACAGAGTCGCTGTTTCTTCAGGCACGGGCTGTCCTTGTCCATTGACTTAGTCCTGGCACCAACTGCAGCCTTCTTGGTCTGTTTGGAAAAATCTTGAAGACTGGCCAGGTGCAGTGGCTCACGCCTACAATCTCAGCCCTTTGGGAGGCTGAGGTGGGCAGATCACTTGAGCCCAGGAGTTCAAGAGCAGCCTGGCCAACATGGCGAAACCCTGTCTCTACTAAAAATATAAAAATTAGCCAGGTATGATGGCATGTGCCTGTAATCCGAGCTACTAAGGGAGGCTGAGGCAGGAGGATCGCTTGAACTCAGGAGACAGAGGCTGCAGTGAGCCAGGATCGTGCTAGTGCACTCCAGCCTGGGCAATAGAGTGAGACTCTATCTCCAGAAAAAAAAAGAAAGAAAGAAAGAATAGGAAGAGAGATCTTGAAGAACAAGAGTTCTAAACTTTATTGATGAAGCTTCTGATTTATTTAAGCTTTGCCGTTGCTAATGGGGTTTTGGTGGGGTCATTGCAGGCGTATTCCCCTTACCTCAAGAATATCCTAAAATTTGGGCAGGAAGTTTGGCCTCATGAATGATGACAAGGGGCTGCATGATACAGCCTAGAAGTTTGGGGGAGTTTAGCTCTCCACAGAGTAATACTTGACCAGTAGGAACTGTGGCTTTGAGGAAGCTGGGCAGAAACCTCCTCCTTGATGATGGCTATGGATCCCCCCACATATAGTTCCTTTCTAGAACCCTCCTGGAGGAGTCCCATGAGCCAAGTGAACATGCTTTCTAAGCTCCCCTGCTCTTTATTCTGATTATTATGTTATTATTTGCAGCTTGTCATGCATCAGCAGCCAGCATGACAACTCATTTCATTGCTGCTTCTCCTGCCCTACCTCACCTTGATCTTAATCCTTGCCTCAGGCTCTGCTTCTAGAGGAAAATGGCTGAGAGAAAAAGGAGGCTGTGGAGAAATGAGAATCTCTGGGCAGCAGCACTTAACTCTGGCTCCATAATCAGAATAAGAGGAACCAGAGCTTTTGGCCAGTTCTTCCTTTGAGCAGGTCTAAGACAGAAACATTTGGTTTCAAAAAAGTCAGTGAGTAATGACTCACGTCACAGAGTGACTTGCCACAGGATTTAACAATTAGCTGGTACTCTTTGAGCCTCACTCACATGCACTGATATCTAAGCGAGTGTGGATGACTACAAATCATGACAGGTGTATTCATTTGGTAGGGCCACTATAACAGCACCACAAACTGCGTGCATTAAACAACAGAAGTTGGCTGGGCATGGTGGCTCACGCCTGTAATCCCAGCACTTTGGAAGGCCAAGTCGGGCCAATCACTTGAGGTCAGGAGTTTGAGGCCAGCCTGGCCAACATGGTAAAACCCCATCTCTACTAAAAATACAAAAACTAGCCGCACATGGTGGCAGATGCCTGTAATCCCAGTTACTCGGGAGGCTGAGGCAGGAGAATCGCTTGAACCCGGGAGGCAGAGATTGCAGCAAGCTGAGATCAGGCCACTGCACTCCAGCCTCGGTGACAGAGTGAGACCCCATCTTTAACAAAATAAAACAAAACGGGAGTTTATTATCTCAAGAGGCTGGAAGTCTGGAATCAGGGTGTGGGCAGGGCCGGCTCCTTCTGAGGCTGTGAGGGGGTCTGTTCCATGCGTCTGTTCTTTCTCCTGGTCTGTGCTGGTCATCACTGCCATTCCTTGGCTTGGAAGCACAGCCCCCAGTCTCCGCCTTCATCTTCACAGAGGTTTTTCCATGCACATGTCTCTGTGTTCAAATTTCCCCTTTTTCTAAGGAGACTATCCCTATTGGACTACGGGACCCTCTGACTCCAGTATAACCCTCATCTCAGCTAACCACATCTTCAATGACCCTACTTCCACATGAGGTCACGTTTGGAGGTGCTGTGAGTTAGGATTTCAACATGTGACTTTTGGAGGGACACAATTCAACCCATGACATAGGACTATCAAGGAATGGATATGTCCTGCCTTCTCCACGATTGATGTGCTGAATGGAACAACACAGGCCGTAGGTACGGACAGAGTTGGAGAAAGATGAGTTAGTGGTAGGCCGGACTGGCTCGGAGAGGTGTTGTGATAAATGGAGACACTTTAGCGGGCCTTGACGGATAAATGAGAGGGAGCCTCCCACACAGTAGCAGACCCCACTGTCTTCAGGTGTCTGTGAACTTGCAGTCCTCTGACACCTTTTTCTTGAAACACACTAGTGCCTGGGCATAGGTCATCCCCAGTCCCCCTTTCTAAAGTGGCCTGAGCCAGTGTTCCAAATCAGGGTGATAGCTGGTCTCAGCACTCTGCTTTTACTCTCTCCTGGGACTTATCCACGATCTGGGCGCCTCGCCTTTGGTTTTCTCCTTTTTAGTGAGATGAACATGTCTGTTGTTACTGAGTACAGGTTGTTGAGTGAACTGTGTTTGAGCTTCACTTCCCACCAACCTCCCACCTACCATTGTTGACTCCAAAATGTCTCCTTTTGACAAGACTCTTCCTGTAAGTTTCTCCCCCACCTCACTTCTTCCCCGTTCCTACCATCATTTAAAGGAAATAGATTTTGATAAATGGGCTTTACTGCTGTAAGTGAAGTTGGAAGAACAAAGGTTTCAGATCTGCAGCCCAGCCGAGTCCTCGTGCAGCGCATATGTGAGAAGTTACAGTGACACCTCTGTGTCCTTTGGGAGATTTTGGCATGGGCTGAGTGTTCTTTTGGTCCATTGTGTTCCCATTCACACAGTGTCACAGATAAAGGAGATGAATTGAGTCTGAAATTGCTGTTTATTACAGTTCCTGGAGATACTATAATACCTGAGTAGGATCTGCACACAATAGCCACTCAAAACCATTATCAGATGAATCACCTGTCAACGTTAGGAAGGTCCCCAATCCAGACACATGATGCCATCATCAGCATCAGGTTAGTGGGTCAGGAGTGCCAGGGGTCACACAGGAATGAAAATCAAGTTATCAGGCCAGGGCTAATTGGGGAATTAGACAAGATGAAGAATTTATTTCAGGTGCAATTAGATAGAGTTTTAAAATACACTGTAGGATTTCATTTAATCCTATAGTAACTGTTAAGGGTTGTATGATGTTCCCGGCAAAAATGGTTTGTGGAAGTCCTGACCCCCAGGACCTCAGAATGTGACCTGACTTGGAAATAGGGTCATGGCAGGTGTAATTATTTAAGATGAGGTCATTCATGTGGGCCCTCAGTCCAGAATGACTGGTGTCCTTAAAAGAAGGCCCAGTGATGACGGAGACCCAGGGAGCTGGTGGAGCTGAGACGGGGATGCCCTGGTGCCTGTGATCCCTGAAGCTGCAGGGCAGAAAGGGCTCCCCCAGGTTTCAGATGGTGATATGGTTTGGCTTCTTGTTACCACCCGAATCTCCTGTTGAATTGTAATCCCCACATGTTGGAGGAGGGGCCTGGTGGGAGGTGATTGAATCGTAGGGGCAGACTTCCCATTGCTATTCTGGCGATAGTGAATGAGTTCTCACGAGATCTGGTTGTTGAAAAGTGTGTAGCACTTCCCCTTCACTCTTTCCTTCCTGATGCCATGTAAGACGTGCCTGCTTCCTCTTCACCTTCTGCCATGATTGTAAGTTTCCTGAGGCCTCCCCAGCCATGCTTCCTGTAGAGCCTACAGAACTGTGAGTCAATTAAACTTTTTTTCTGCATAAGTTACCCAGTTTCAGGTAGTTCCTTCTAGCAGTGTGAGAACGGACTAATACAGATGGACTGCGGGCTCACACACACCTTGACTTAGGCTCCCAGCCTCCAGAACTGTGAAGGGATAAATCCCATTGCTTAAGCCCCCCTGGCCATAGACAGCAGCCAGAGAACAGACACAGCAAATGTCCAGGAAAGCTATGGCCACACAGCAGACAGGATGCTCGGCCTCTCAGCCATGATCTTCTGTTGTTTTCAGTGAGGCAGAGGGCAGGTGTGTTACCTTGGAGTCCCCACTGCAGCCTCCCCATGCTTCACAGATGGGGAAGGAGTCCCTGTCTCTCTACAACCTTGAGGCCTTACCCCCACCTGCTGGCCCTGCCCCCACGTCCTGGGACCAAACCCTGACCATCCTGACACTGCCCCCACCTCCTGGCTCTGCCCCTGACCCACTTGCTCCTGGGAGCATGGTTGGGTGGGAGGCAGGACAGTGTGAATAGGTCATGAGGTCTCCGGGCTTCTGGTAGGACTCATGAACTAAGGAGTTGACAGCACTCGTGGTGTAGCCATCGCAGTCCTGGGATGCCTCTAGGCACTTCCCCGCTCTCCCTGGGTCGTCTGACAGGTGGAGAGCTCTTGGCACTGGGGGTGGACAGTCAGAAAGTACTGGGCGGGGGTAGCAGGTCCCTAGGCCCTCAGCTCAGGTGTCAGCAAATCAGAGCTGGAGTTGAGTGTTTGTTAGCTTAAAGGACAAATAGCAAAATGAAAAAGCATCCAAGGAAGGGCGCCAACCTCTGGGTCTCTGGACAGCCTTTCTCCCTTCTGGAGCGCTGGTCTCTCCATCACTCTCCTGGGCTGGGCTGCGCTCTGGCTTTGGCCCAGGGCAGTGGCCTGAAGTGTCCCCTGTGGCCATTAGAGCTGTGATTGCAGATCTGTCAAAGCGGCTGCTGCACAGATGTTTCCATCACCACTTTTATTATGTCATTCCCTTGCTAGAGACTTCAGAAAACTCAAACTGCTTGCCAGATCAGGGCCAACCTCACCCCCCAATTCACACCCCGTCCACCTGCGCAAACACTGCCTCCCTCCTCTGCCAGGCTGTCTGCCCGTCCCAGCCCTGTCTAACTTGGTTTTAACTTCATTTGTGCCCCTCTCCACCTGGAGTGTGCCTTTGTCCCTTTTAGACACCAACTCCTGTAGAGACGCACAAGGAGGAAAGCAGTGAGGCTGCATGTTCTGTCCAGAGCTTGCGGGTTTCCGGGCCTGCAAGCTCCAAGGGGAGCCTGGGCTCAGGGCACTGTCAGCTGCAAATGGGTGTTAGGGCTCGTCAGGTGACACAGGCAGCAGCTATAGCCCTGGACGGCATCAGCCAGACCAGGCACGGCATCTGGAGACAGACAGCTGGGTATGGCTGGCACACGAGGGAGGGCAGAGGCCCAGGGTCCATGAAAGAGGCCAAGGAGGCATATGGGTCACAGAGGCCCAGAAGAGTCCCTCAAGAGAGGGGACGATCAGCCCTGGAGGTCCGGCCAGGCTTTGGACTTGGCAGGTCATTGGTGATTTCCAAGAGAGCAGCTTCAGTAGCCAGGAAGGGAAGGAAAGCGTGTGGGGCAGTGGCTGAGGAGCCAGCGAACTTCCTTCAAGGCCCTGGGGTCAGAAGCGCAGGTGGATGCATCTGTGCCAGGAGCTTGGTGCTTGTGCAAGAGCCAGGAGCTCCTCTGCCTCTCCCAGCCCACCCCTGCGGTCAGGGTGGGACCACATGATGGGGTTTCACCAAAGAGAGAGGACAGGCGTCACTTCCCACCCAAGACATCAAGAGCAACCCGTGTGCTCGACTCTGTGCCGGGATGGCTGGAGGCAGAGACACAGAGGTGAGGAGGGAGCAGGACAGCAGGAGACCCGCCTTAGCGTGAGACCTGCCTTGGCTGCGTCTGACTGTGTGTGGCCTTTTTAGGGGCTCAGCTTAGATTCTGGCGCTTAATTCTTACTGTGGCACTTCCGAGCCCACCCGACAATTAAGGCGAGCTGGTAGCGAGGGGATGGATTCAGTTTAATGGACGTTTTCAGTTGGTTCTTTGTAAGGTGGGAGAAGCACGTGCAGGCTGAGAGGGGAGGAGCCGGTAGAGGGAGCAGGGACAGAGCTGTCACGACTCGGGAGCCCTGCCCATCTCTAGTGCTGGCTTTTGTCCTGCTCAGGCTGCTGGCTTATTTGCTTTGGGGGACGCCTCCTGTTTGTCCCCATGGTCTTGATGAGGCTGCTTGTCCTCACAGACCTGCCCTTATCCCAGCCAGCCATCAGTCAGGGAGCCGCGCTGTGGGCATGTGTCTGAATGTGCCGTCTGCTCTGTAAAGGATGCTTCTTAGGGTTGCAGATGGACCTCTCTTGTGTCCCCCACCCCTCAGTGTTTAGCAGTGAGCTTCAGTGGGGTTTGAGTCCAATTCTGAACACATGGCAATCCTGCAAGGCAGCTGCTCATCCTGGCAAAAGGCAAGTGGCTTGTTCTACGGCACACAGCTCAGAGGTGCTGGTCGATGTGCGTGGGCTAGTCTGCCCCAAACACAGAGGATGCTTGGCATAGTTTGCCTCTTTTCCACCAAACCCCTGTATTTTGCTCCCATGAATAGCTGACCTGCCCATGCCAGCCTTCCTAGCCCCCATCCTCACAGAACTGACACTGCCTCTCAGTGGTGGCTCCCTTTAGAGGCTCCCAGTAGGCCACAGCTAGGCTTCTTGTGCCTGCCTACCTGCTCCTTAAGCTTACGTATACGTCGTATATGTAAGAATTAACATATGTGTGTGAGTACGTGTGTCAATACTGTGAGATAGCCAAGCCTCCTTCCTCCATTGGGCTCATTCTTGCAACAGTTGCCTGCCTACTGCGGAAAGTCATTTCCCACCCTGGAGATGCGTGTAGGGGATCCTGCTGCCCTCGGCTACCATGCAGGGCCTTCCTCTCGTCTTCTCCCCACCTGTCCTGGGCCCCTTCTCCCGCTAAGTCCATCACATTTGTCCATGTGCACAGTTTGTTCCTCGCTGAGGTGCGCAGCAGACTGTGCTAACCCATCGGACAGTGGCTGCCTCTTGTTTCTTCATAGCAGAACCTGGTTTAACTCAGGGCATGGCCCCAGGCCATGAGCTGCAGTTGGTCTAGTTCAGTCAGAAGTATCCCCTTCCCACATGCCAGTGAATGGGAGAAGTCGGCTAGGGATTTAAGAAAAACGTGCGTCCCCTAACAACAACAAAAAAGACACACGGGGATAAATTTCCTTTTCTTCCTTTGACTGTGGTCTGGGGACATGGTTTCTAGGGCCATGAGGACAAAGGTCAAGGCACAAGGTGGCTGAGTGGAAAGGTGGGCAGGTGATTCTCCACGCAGTTGGCAGCACCAATGTCATTGCCCGATGGGTCCTTCCGCCTCTTGTACAGGGAAACTCAATCCACTGAGACCACGGCGTCACAGTAAAGAAAGAGTTAACTGACATGAGTCCGGTCATGCCATGCAGGACAGTTATCTATCAAATCAAGTCAGTCTACCTGAAGGCTCAGAGGTTAGCAGTTTTCATGGATAGTTTGGCGGGCAGGGACTAGGGAATGGGTGCAGCTGATTAGTTGGGATGCCTTCAGAGGGGTGTGGAAAATGACACTGACTCCTCCTCTGGGTGGGGCCACAGGACTGGTTGGGTGGTGAGTCAGGAGTCCAGGTGAGGTCAAATTGGTTGCCAGAAATGCAGAAGTCTGGAAAGACATCTCAAAAGGCCAATCTTAGGTTCTCTAATAGTGATGTTATCTACAGGAGTAATTGGGGAAGTTACAAATCTTGTGACCTCGGGACAATGGCTGGTTGTCATTTAACTACACCTACATCTTAGCAGAATTCAGGCCTCTCTCAATCCTAACCTTGCGGCCTCTCATTAGTTTTGCAATGGTGTTTTAGTTTGGGGAAGGGCTAGTATCATCCTTGCTTTAAACTGTATGTAGTTTAAACTATAAACTAAATTTCTCCCAAAATTAGCTTGGCCTGTGTGTGCCCAGGAATGACCAAGGACACTTGGAGGTCAGAAGCAATATGGAATCAGCTATGTCAGATTTCTCCTAACAGTGATACTTTTGCAAAGGCAGTTTCGCTAAGCTGACCTGCTTTGCAACTGCCTACCTACTAACTGTTCGTTATTGTAGGTGATAAGCATCCTTGTGGCTTAGCCTCCTTTCAGTTATTTTTTTCTGTTCATGCCACGAAGCCATCCTAACTTTATCCTGACACATCTCCTTGCCCCAGGGGAGCTATGGACAAGGTGCGCTGTTTGGCTGAAGGCAATCATGGCCAAGCTGGCAGAGCTAGCCTGGAATCTTCCAGACAGAGGGCTGGAGGAGGGATGGGGCACGGGAGCACAGATAGACTTTAACTGCCCCCACGTTGTCAAGGAAAGGAAAGCAGAGCGAGAGAGTGGGTAGTGGGGTGGGTGCTGCTTTGGATGGAATGGCGAGGGAAGTCTTCTCTGGTAAGGAGACCACACTGGAGCCAGAGAGAGAGCCACTCAGAGGTCTGGGGCAGAGGAAATGCTAAGTGCACATTAGCAAAAGCCTCATGCTGTAGGGCAGTCCCCAGCTTTTAAAAAACTCTCTCAGCTGGGTGCAGTGGCTCATGCCTGTAATCCCAGCACTTTGGGAGGCCAGGCCGAGGTGGGCGGATCACCTGAGATAATGAGTTCGAGACCAGCCTGGCCAACATGGTGAAGCCCCGTCTCTACTAAAAATACAAAAATTAGCCGGGCATGGTGGGTGCCTGTAATCCCAGCTACTCAGGAGGCTGAGACAGGAGAATCACTTGAACTTGGGCAGCAGAGGTTGCAGTGAGCCGAGATCCTGCCATTGCACTCTAGCCTGGGAACAGAGCAAGACTCTGTTTCAAAAACAATAAACAAACACCCAGCTCTCTCTCAAAGAAGTAAGGAAGCAAAGCAGGCTGATGGAGACAGGCTTCTGGGAGACCCAGCTGCTCAGGTCTGGGCTCTGCCTGCTGTATATTCACTTCTCCTAGGTTCTCTCTGGCCTGCCTCCCATCTCAGCTTCCTTTTTTAAAAAAAGAAAAGGCTAATCTTTGATAAATTCCCACATAATCTGCAATGAACAGAGAAACTCTGTAGGAATGACTTGGTGCTACCCCACCACAGTCCACATCTTGGGACAGCCGCTCAGCCTGGAGCCCGTACTAGAAGGAAGAATGTCGATGTTAAATCTCTCCCTCATTCAAGACAATGTGGCCTCAATATTAGATGCCTTTTCACCTTTATTTTCTGAATGTCTGTTTACATCTGAGTTCACTCGTAGAAAAAGTCTGGGTGAGAGAGTAGGTCGGGGTCCCCTTGGCCCTGAGAACAGCTGGCCAGGCGGAGCCCACCTCTGGTTTTTCTGGCTTTGTGACAGAGTGACCACTAGGGGGTGACATAGCCTCACATGCTGAGTCTGGTGCTGGGAGCAGGTTGGTCCTGCCTGGGGGAAAGCAGCAGGTATCGTTCCTGCCTGGGTTTTTTCCAGTGCGGTTCACCTTCAAATGCGCCTCCCAGACAGAAGAAAGCTGGTGTTAGGAGCGGACAAGGATACCTGCCTGCCCAGGCGTTTCAAAGGGGAGTTGTCTGGCATGGAGGATATTCACCTGCACCACGTTACATGAGAACCTGCTAAGTGCTGGGCCCTTGGGAACGCAGCAGTGAATGAGCCCATCCCTGCCCTCGTGGGGATACCATTCTAGGGACAATCGGTACCACAGGTGGAAAAGTGTCATGTGTCCCAAGTGCCAAGAGGAACAACAGTCAAAGGAGAGGGGCTGCGGGGGTGCTGCTCTATGTGGGCAAGTCAGCAATAGCCTCTGACATGGAGACATTTGGCCAGTGGTGAGATGGAGCCAGGGAGAGGACAGGTGGAGGCCATGGCACGCCTGGCGGAGGGGCCCACGATGCAAATGTCCGGAGGCAGGAGCAGCCTCTGAGCCTGCAGGGAGCTGGTCAATGTGGCCAGAACCAAGTAGGGAGGGAGCAGGTGCTGGAGTGAGGTCAGGGAGTGGGGCGGGGCCTTGCAGGAGAGGTCAGGATTCCAGGTTTTAATTGAGCGATACAGAAAGCCATCGGATGTCGATCGGATGCAATGCAGAGAGATGTCTGGCTACTGTGCAGTAAAGAGATGGTAGAGACAGGGCTGGGGTGAGCAGTGAGGGGTCCCTGCAGTGGATCTGGAGATACATTAGCATGGTCTCCCGCCTCCTCAGAGACCTCCTTCAAGTCTTGCCCGCTACAGAAAGCCTTACTGGATTCTGTTTGCCTTGAGCAATCTGCCAGAGCCCTGAAATATAGCTGTTATTTTAAGTCTCTTTGCAGTCTGTGTTCTCTCGTGATAACTTCCTATTGCCTTCTTGTCTCTTTAAAAATCACATATTGAGCTTTTCATGCACTTGCCTCTTATTTTCCCAAGCTCTTCCAGTTCATACCTCCTCATCCCCCCAGGTCTATCAGTGCCTTCGGGGTTTGGAACCTTTGGGGTACACTGATGGTCACCCAACATGGGAAGAACACCATGTCTCTGGGGACCTTGGATCTCCCTGCTCTGTTTTCCTTTCTGTGGGCTCCCAGCTCCTAGAGCTCAACATGCCTTTATCCTTTTCCCTCCTCCCTCAGATGGAAACAGTTCTGGCAAAAATATTTAAAATAGACATTATAGAACTTAAAGGTGACATAGTTCAGGGGTAGTTGACACATTTATCTCATAACAAAGAAAGAATTCCTAGCATCAAAACCAGATGCCACAGATTCTCTTTTTGGAAGCGACTGTCTTCCCAGAACCCTAAAATCATGCAGTGGTAGCTTTTAGGGAGTGAGACAAGGTGGCCTTTGGCCAGCTGGCCCCCACGGAGCAAGAAATGGCATCTTGTCTGATGGGGGCAGCAGGGCACACCCAGTAACTGCTACTGACAGGATCAGCCCTGCTGGACATTGGGACATTATCTTTGTCCTACTAGAAAAAAAAAAAAGAGTTGAAAATCACTGGCCTAGACAGCCACCTACTTTGATTACACCGAAGGCTACTCTAGGTGATGACCATGGTGTCTGGTAGGGACAAGCACAAAGCAAAAGGTGGAGAATATACTCTGACACCCGGGGAAGATTTACAGCACTGAGATGGTAAAGCGGAGCCGCAGGGCTTCATCGCAGCAGTGGTTTGAAAACGTTTTGACTGCAGCCCACAGTAACAAATCCATCTGATGGCATAATCCAGCACATACAACACATCAACAAAAGCCCTTTTACGAAGCAATATTGACCCTGACTAGGTACTTTATTTTCGATTCTATTGTTTCAGCTGCTTTATCTGACCCACACGGTTGATTTCATGATGGGGTGGCGGGGGCAGTGGTTGCAGTTTGGAAAACACCACCCTAGATGGTCAGAGAACAGCAGAATGCGTCTGGAACGCCTTTGAGGCGAGTCTGGTTTGGGGGGTTCTTAGGGCACAGAGGATCCGCTGGATGGAAGTAAGTCCCGGGTTTCTGCCAGAGATGTGGAATGGTAGATTTTCCCCCTGTCCGTTTCCAAGACTAGCTCACAATTATGACCGAGGTCATGTGTATTTTGAACATCCAAAAGGAATTTAATTTTCTCTGTTTGTGGTTGAATCCGAATCTCCCATTCCACATGGTTGACCCCCACCCTGGAGCGGGCACTGTGTCTCATCCTGCTGCATCTGGGGATCTTTTTCAGAGGATCTGTGCTGGGAGCTGTTTGAAATTCGAATGAGTCTTTCAGAGAAGTTTATTTAACTTGTAAAACTTCAGGTCCTTTCACACCATTTCAGCGTTGGATCACAGACAGCTCTTCCTTTATATCCCAGCAACTTGAGTTTATTTTTCAAATAAAAGTCTGTTTTCCCATAAAATGCCAAAGGTTTTGTGCTTTGTGTGGAGGAATGAGCCCAAGCTTTTAAGACTTTAATTTAGAGCCTCTGAGTCTTGCATTTCCATCCCAAGGGCTCCCGGGGCTGAGGAGCACCCCACTCCAGCTTGCCCCGCAGAACAAACGCCAGGCAGTGGTTCAGCGAGTGAGCATCAATAGGGCCATTGTCCCTAAATATAGAGCAAGACCAAAAACCGGGGGGTCAGACTCGAGTAATTTTAGGACTCCAGCATTTAGGCCTGAAGCTCACCGCTGGTTACTCCCCCGAATCGCAGCGCTGACCCCGTCTGAATCGTCTCCTGCAGATGGCCCTAGCTCAGCTGTCAGCCCGGGTCCTACCTGGAAGAGGGTTACTCTCCGTACTAAAAGCAGATGGAGTTTAATACACGGACGTCACAGTTCTGATTATGTGGCTGCGTGGTTATAAAGGTGAGGAAAGAGCTGAGACGCCAGACTAGAGTTTGGGAAGCGACCCACCGATGAGTAAGGAAAATCCTTTCCCACCCCAGGTGGGAGAAGGGAAGAGGGCGGCGCTGGGAGCCCTGGCGGGGCTGGAACCAGGAGCTGCAGTTGGTCTGTCTGGCAGGAACGGGAGCCAAAGGGGCTGTAGCTATGGTCAGATGTTGCCCAAGGTGTCTCCCTGTCTCCTGCCCAGCGGGAGCCTGGACACATGGCAGCAGGGGTCAGAGGTCAGCCCCTGCATCCAGGCAGAGTAGGGGTGAGGATTGAGCATGAGAGCAGCGCAGGTACCCGCTCGCCTGGAGGCACCACTGAGTCGTTGCGTGTGCCTGAGCCATGTGCTGAGCGGGGTGCCCGAGATGCACCCACAAATCCATCTAGGGTCCCTCCCAGCATTGCAAGGACAGGAAACCTTTGGTGCCTCAGAGGCAGAGAGGTTCCTGGGGAAGCTCTGGTGGCTCCTACGTTAAAAGGAACCCACACTTCCTTCGTTGCAGTCACGTGTGTGGTGTGTGTTCCTGGGGCATTGCTCACATGACCTGTACGTGAGTCATTTTACTCCTCACTTTCAGGGAGGCCACAGGGGCCTGTGGGACTGTACCGATGGTGCAGAGGCGAGACCTGCTTTGGGGGCAGAGGGACCTGTGGCTGCCGGCATCACTGGTGGTCCAGGGGGAGAGGCCTGAGAAGAGGAGGAGACCAATGGGGGATGGGAGAGGAGGCGGGAGAGGGCAGTGGAAGTATTTGTGTTTGCGCACAGGTAGAGACACTGAGGACTTTTCTCCACTTCCACCTGGGAGGGCCCCGCAGCCTCCTGGAGGAACCTCATGGTGTGCACAGGTGATTTATATCATTAATACCAAAGAACACGAGCAACTGCTAAAGTGAGTTGCTTTAGGCACCGGGGTGAAACTGGGAAGGCTCGTGAGGGGCCGTGGCCCCCGTGAGAGTCCCCTTGCTGCCTTGGAAATGACTCTGCCCAGCAAGGAGAGGAGTCTCTTCAAACAGCAGTTGACAAATGTTTCCTGTAAAAAGCCAGATGGTAAATGTCTTAGACTTCGAAGGCCACGTGGTCTCTTTTGCAACTACGAAGCCATAGACAAAGTATAAACTAATGGTGCAGCTGTGTTCCAATAAGTATTTATAAAAGCAGGTGGCCAGCAGGATTGGGCCATTGGGTAGTAATTTGCCAACTCCTGTTTTTAAAACATAAATCCCATCATGTCATCCCCTGTTCAACCCCTTGACGCCGCCCCAGCACATTTAAATGAAAACTCCAAGCCCCACCACACATGGCCTCTGAGGTCCTCTGAGGTCACCCTGGGCTGGCTCTGACTGTGTCTTGTGCACACCCACCCCCTGTCTTCCTCTGCTCAGGCTCATGTCCCCTAGGCCCTCTGCCTGAAACACCCTGAGATGCTGAGCATGTCCCCTAGGCCCTCTGCTAGAAAACACCCTGGAGCCAGAACACCCTTGAGGCTGTGCTGTGCCGTGCCTCCCAGATTCCCGATTCCTTCAAGAATGAGGAACTCACTCCCAGCTGTGGGTGTGACAGACAGATGGCCCTCAGCTAAGGAGCACCACCTCGCCAGCCTTCAGCCCCTCCCAGAGCCGGCCTACGCCCAATAACCGGCCGATGTACATAAAGGACCAGCCCCCGACCCCCGCTCAGGACAGCTCTGAAGGGGCATCCGGGCTTCAGAACTCTCTGTCGGGGCTTCACGGGGTCTCCATCGCCCCTTTGTCAGGCCCAAGAGCACTCCCTGATGTACATCCAACATGCTCATTTCCATCCCAGAGCCTGCCTCTCAGAGAGCCTGCAGCGACCCTTCCTGCAGATAGACACAGGTGGGGTCCCTTCCTTCAGGTCGCTGCTCCAACTTTCCAATACCACAGTGGCCTTCGGAAGGAAGGGAGGCAGGGGAACTGAGGGGACCGCGAAGGTAGGGCCTGGAGAAGTGCTGGGGAGTGAGGTGCAGCTCGAAGTGCTGGAGAGTGAGGTACTCGAAGTTAGGGCCTGGAGAGGTGGTGGGGAGTCAGGTGCGGCGGAGGGGGTTGGGTGGGCGGGAGAACAGGGACTATATGAAGCCAAAGCCCAGCCTCCCTCAGGGCTGTGCCCTGTGAGTTGTACAAAGGGCCCTGGGTCTGTCCCCAGATGTTGCCATGATCCAGAATTACTGTGAGCTTTACCCTGTACCCGACAAAAAAGATTGACTCTGGCTTGCCCAAGTCTGCCCCTAAGCCCCAGTGCTGGCCCAGCCAACGCGGGCACCCTGGGCCCCCCGCTCACTGGCCACAGCTGGAGCCTTCCGGACCAGGGCAGCTGATGAGGTCTGAATACTGGGGCTGAGCAGACTCCAGAAAAACGTGACTCATCTTGCCTGCCCACAAAGAAAGGAAAAGTATGTGCGGCATCCAAGTTTCCTGAAAAGTTCAGCCAACACATTGCAGAGTTATGTGGCCTGGCATCCCGTGTGGTCCCTGGGGACAGCGCCCTCTGGCGCCAGCCTGGAAGACGTCCCCAGCCAGGGCTGGCCTGCACATCCTGTGTCCAGGCTGTTATTATTTGGGAGAAGCCAACGAAAAATTCCCGGAAGAATCTCCTTGCCCTCAGCGAGTTAGAGTCCTCTAGTTCTCTCAGGGCCTGCTTTGGTGATGCTCCCACCTTCGGAGACAGTAAAAGGCAGCACTAACACATGCTCTTACTTAACACACAGGCCCACTGTAGCTCTTTTTCTTTTTTTCGAGATGCGGTCTTGCTCTGCCTCTCAGGCTGGAGTGCAGTGGTGCGATCACAGTTCACTGCAACTCAAGCGATTCTCCTACCCCAACCTCCTGAGTAGCTGCGACTACAGGTGTGCACCATCATGCCCGGCTAATTTTTAAATATTTTGTAGAGATGGGGTTTTGCCATGTTGCCCAGGCTGGTCTCAAACACCTGGGCTTAAGCGATCCTCCTGCCTTGACCTCCCAAAGTGCTGGGATCATAGGCACAAGCCACTGCTCAGCCTGTATTTCTTAATTCCTTTTTTAAAATAACACTTTAGGGCTGGGCGAGGTGGCTCACGCTTGTAATTCCAGCACTTTGGGAGGCCAAGGTAGTGGATCACTTGAGCCCAGGAGTTCGAGACCAGCCTGAGCAACATGGTGAGACTCTGTCTCTAAAAAAACAATTATTAAATAATAAATAACATTTTATTTTGACAATTTCAAACATAAAGTCACAAAAATAATACAAAGAGTTCTCATATCCTTTTCACCCAGATTGCCCGATGTTAGCATTTCACCAGATCTGCCCATATCTCATTTCTCACGATCTCTCACTGTGTGTTTATATGAATTCTGAACCCCTGAGAGGAATTTGCAGACATCATATCCCTTTACCCCTAAATATTTCAGTGGATGTTTCATAAAAACAGGGTCATTCTCCTAACCACAGTATAATTGTCAAAATCAGGAAATCAGCACAAATATCATGCTATCAGCTAAGCTGCAGGCTTCATTCACATTTTGTGCCTTGTCTCAGGGGCGTCATTTCTTGGAAGAGGAGACCTCCAGCCACGCGTTTTGTTTCGTTGTCCTTTCTCTTCAGTCTCTTCATCTGGAACAGCTCCTCAGTCCTGTCTCATCTGTCACGACCTGAGCACTTTTCAGGAGGACAACGGCCAGTTCTTGTGTCACCTGCCCTTCGACATTTCCTCACCATCAGAGCCAGCCTCCGCCCTCAGGTGGGCACCCACCCATCCGTGGGCTGCCCTGGGCTTCTGCATCCCAGCAGGGTCACCCGATGCGGCCGCGACACCTTTCCGGTGAAGTGGACGCCGGTCACTTGGTGAAGGGGGCGTCTGCCACCATAAAGTTCTCTACTTTAATAAAGGGCTTACTTTCCCCCTTGTCACCAGTCAGGGCTTCAGGGGGACCTACTTTGGGATTGTGTAAATGTCTTCTTTCTCATCAAACTTTCACTTGCTAGTTTTAGGATTGATATGTATTTCTTGCCTGAATTGTTACTATAGTAATTACCAAAAGGCGATTTTCTAAATTTATCATGAATTCTACATTGACTGGTTGGAATGCTACTTTAAAGAACAGGTTTTTCTTCTCTCCCTGTGTGTGTATGTATCTATGGACTCATGGATTTGTATCCTATTCAGTGCCATGTTATTTCTCATTATCAAATATTTTAAAAAATTTTTATTTTAGGTTTGGGGGTCCATGTGAATGTTTGTTACATAGATAAAGATGTGTCATGGGGGTCTGTTGTACATATTATTTCATCACCCACGTATTTCATCATGTATTAGGCTCAGTACCCAATAGTTATCTTTTCCGTTCCTCTCCCTCCTCCCACCCTCTGCCTCTTAAGTAGCCCCCAGTGTTTGTCGTTTCTTTCTTTGTGTTCGTAAGTTCTTATTATTTAGCCCCCACTCATAAGTGAGAACATGCAGCACTTGGTTTTCTGTTCCTGTGTTAGTTTGCTAAGGATGATCGCCTCCAGCTCCATCCATGTTCCCTCAAAAGACGTGATCTCTTTCTTTTTTATGGCTGTGTAATATTCCGCAGCACATATGTACTACATTTTCTTTATCTGGTCTGTCATTGATGGGCATTTAGGTTGATTCCATGTCTTCATTATCAAGTTTTTGATGCTCAAATTGTCCTAGACGTGGCCAGCAGGAGCCTCTCCAGGCGGATCACTGTGTCCTTTGACTTTCCCCATCATATCCCCACCCTGTCCCCATCATGCTGTGGGCACTTCCTGGCTTTCTGGCTGATCTTGTACATTCCTCACCCCAGCCCTGGAATTAGCCATTGCTCTAAAGAGCCCTTGTCACTTTTAGTGGCAAATAGTGTTTACGTGTGCATGTCACTCCTGGGGTGTCATTGCTTCTAGGCCTTCTCAGCAGATGTATTAGAGACAACCTAAACACCCACATAGAAGAGAGTAGTTGGCCAGGTGAGGTGGCTTACACATGTAATCCCAGCACTTTGGGAGTCTGAGGCAGGAGGATTGCTTGAGCTCAGGAGTTCAAGACCGTAGCGAGACCCTGTCTCTACCAAACAAACAAACAAACAAACAAACAAACAAAAATAGCTGGGCATGGAGACATGTGCCTGTCGTCCCAGGTACTTGGGAGTCTGAGGCAGGATGATCACTTGAGCCCAGGAGTTCACGGCTGCAGTGCGCTGTGATTGCACTGCACTCCAGTCTGGGCGACAAAGCGAGAACCTGTCTCAAAAAAATAAATAAATAAATAAATAATAAATAGAGTAGTTCAATGAAATAAAGAAGTTACAGCTACATAGCAGAGTACCATGTAGCTGTAAAAAAAATATGGCATCTTTGGGCCGGGCGTGGTGGCTTACTAAACCTGTAATCCCAGCACTTTGGGAGGCTGAGGCAGGCAGATCACGAGGTCAGGAGATCGAGACCATCCTGGCTAACACGGTGAAACCCCGTCTCTACTAAAAATAAGTAAATAAATAAATAAATAAAAATTAGCCTGGCATGGTGGCGGGCACCTGTAGTCCCAGCTACTTGGGAGGCTGAGGCAGGAGAATAGCATGAACCTGGGAGGCAGAGCTTGCAGTGAGCTGAGATCACACCACTACACTCCAGCCTGGGCGACAGAGTGAGACTCCGTCTCAAAAAAAAAAAAAAAAAGGAATCTTTGAATCAGTATGGCAAAAGACATGCCTAGGCAATCCTCAAAAGACATGAAAATAGCCATTAGACAATAGCATGAGCATACTTAGTCATCATTAGAAATCCAGATTGTAGAATTAATCCATATTTTCCTTTAGTATTTGTAGGTTTAACTTTTTTTGTGGTAAAATGCATATAATATGTAATTTAGCACCTTAACAAATTTTTTTTTTTTTTGGAGACAGGGTCTTGCTCTGTCCCAGGCTGGAGTGTAGTGGTGCCATCTTGGCTCACTGCAACCTCTGCCTCCTGGGCCCAAGTGATCCTCCCACCTTAGCCTCCTTAGTAGCTGGGACGACAGGAACATACCACTGTGCCTGGCCACCTTAACAGTGTTAAAGTATATAACTCAGTAGTCACAGTGTTGTGCGACCATCACCCCAATCTAGTTCCAGAACTGTTTCATCACCCCAAATGGAAACCTCACATCCCTTAGCCCTCAATCTCCATTACCCCTTCCCACAGCTCTTAGCAGATGCTAAGCTGCCGTCTGCCTTTCTGGACTTGCCTATTCTGCATATCTCACAGAAACAGAACCCCATGACCTGCGGGCTTCTGCATGTGGCTTCTATCACTTAGCAGATTGTTTTGAAAGTCGATCTACTTTGTGGCATATATTGGAATTTCATTCCTTTTTATGCCTGAATAATATTCCATTGTAGAATAGACTCCATTCTGCTTACTCAGTCATCCACTGGTGGCCATTTGGGTTGTTTCCACCTTTTGTGAATAGAGCTGCCATCAACGTTCATGTACAAGTTGTTGGAACACCCGTTTGCAGTTCTCTTGGGTATATACCTAGGACTGCAGGTTCTGGGTCATATGGTCATTTTGTGTTTAACTTGTTGAGGAATGTTTTCCACAGTGCAGTGTTTTACATTCCCATCAGCAATGTATGAAGGTTCCAGTTTCTCCATATCCTTGCCAACGGTTCAGTTCTTTTTTTTTTTTTTTTTTTTTGAGATGGAGTCTTGCTGTGTCACCCAAGCTGGAATGCAGTGGCACCATCTCGGCTCACTACAACCTCTGCTTCCCAGGTTCAAGCAATTCTCCTGCCTCAGCCTCCCGAGTAGCTGGGGCTATGAGCATGTGCCACCATGCCCAGCTAATTTTTATATGTTTAGTGGAGATGGGATTTCACCATGTTGGCCAGGCTGGTCTCAAACTCCTGACCTCACGTGATCTGCCCACCTCGGCCTCCCAAAGTGCTGAGATGACAGGCATGAGCCACCATGCCCGACCCAGTTCTTTTCCTTTTTTTTTTTTTTTTCAGTGTGGTTGTCCTAGAGGATGTGAAGTGGTCTACCATTGCTGTTTTGATTTGCAGTTCCCTAGTAAAGTTTAGCATCTTTTCTTGTACCTTTTGGCCACCTGTGTGTCTTCTTTGGGGAAATATTTAATCAAGGCAGCTGCTCATTTTTTTGATTGGATTGTCTTTTTGTTGTAGAGTTGTAGTTCTTTATGTATTCTGGATACTAGACACTTATCAGATATATGACTTGCAAATATTTTCTCCTTTCCTGTGAGCTGCCTTTTCACTCTCTTATTATTGTCCTCTGATGCACAAAAATGTTTCATAACAGCAGAGTTTTGATGACCAACGTCACCTTCATATGCTGCTTCTCTGTACCTGGCCCATGTAGACACTGAACGCTTACTGAAATGGAGGAAGCAGAGAGAGTGAGGGAGGTGGATACCGGGGACTACAGTTCACTGATTCAAAGAAATGGGGCATCAGGATAGGCTGATGGACGGGGGACTGTCTCATTGCCCCTCCAGGTGTCTGCTTGCTACAATGTGAAAGGCTGACTCAGGGTCTAACTATCCCTTTAAAGCTTCTAGTGAGGAGAGAGAAAAGATGGCAAATTCTCCGTAGCCTCCTTTTCTGAGTTTGATCTTTGGATGGATGGTTAATCCAGTTCTCTTGCTTAACCGCATCTCTTCTGCTTTGCAGTGAGCACAGTTTCTTTTGAGCATCTCCTCTCTGGAGACATCTGGCCCGTGGGCCTCTATGAGGAAAACCGTCAGCCTCTTCCTCACCCTCGGAGGCTCCAAAACACCCAGGCCAGCCCCATGTTGCCTAAAGCCCAGAAAACTGTGTTTTAAAATTTTGGCGAATGATTAGCAAATACTCTCACTGTCGTCACTGGGGGCAGGTTGGGTGAAAGTGCCCAGCTCATCTCTCTGGCTGCGGGCGCGGCGGGGCGAAGGCCAGGTGGCACGGCACGGATGTTCTTTCCTCCTTGCCGCTGCTGATGACGGAGTTTTGCAACCTTTTTTATTTTTATTTTAGCTTTTGCCAAAGGGAGTTTTTGAGAATGTACCTTGCTGATTTTTGTCTGCTATAGATACTTATCACCATTTACCAGATTTTTTTTGTTCAATTTTCTCCCCTTTACATTTTAATTTTCAGTGAAGTAGTTCAATCGCATGGTTAAAAAAACCAAACATTCCAAAACAATTTATATTGAAAAGCAGTAGTTCCCACCCTCCTCAACCAAACCCCAAAAGAAGCCTTTAAAAATCATATGCCTCGTCAACTATTTTATGATTTATCAGTGTTAAACCTTGTATGTTGACGTCCTATTAAAATGGAGGGGCAGATAATTCAATGTCCCACCCCACACCTTCCCAGTTTTCCCTCTGCTCTCTTTTAAAAAAATCAATCTTTTGAAAATTACCCCCTAAAATGCCTTTCTGACTTTTTTCTGATAACCTCTATGAAATTTTAATAAAACAGATATACTATCTATTGTTTACATTGTTACATATACTATCTATTGTTTACTTATACTGTAAGTATAGCTGTTCCTTGTATATAAGAAGTAAGATTTTTGGCTGGTTACAGTGACTCACGCCTGTAATCCCAGCACTTAGGGAGGCCGAGGTGGGCGGATCACTTGAGTCCAAGAGTTTGAGACCAGTCTGGGCAACATGGTGAAACCCCATCTCTACAAAAACTACAAAAATTAGCCAGGCGTGGTGGCACGTGCCTGTAGTACCAGCTACTAGGGAGGCTGATGTGGGAGGATTGCTGAGTCTGGGAGGTGGCAGTTACAGTGAGCTGAGATTGTGCCACAGCACTCAACCCCGGGCAATAGAGTGAGACCTTGTCCCAAAAAAAAAAAAAAAAAAAAAGTAAGTTTTTTTGCCCCCTCCAAGAGGTGATTTTCACCCCCTTAGCCCCACTGAGAGTGATGCTATAAACAGAAAAGAATTTGAGGTGAGTGATGTCCGTGAATGTAGTAACATCTGACATTTGGGATAAAGCCAATCTGAAAGAGTGAACAATCAAGTGGTAGAATGACTTTTGTTTTTTGTTTTGTTTTGTTTTGTTTTTGTATCTTGCCAGTCTCAAGGAATGAACAAGCCACGTGAGCTAACTTTCTAGATATCTGGAACTTAAGCCATCGAGTACCAGAGCATACATCTTTTTTAAGTGTCAGATGCATTACATACTTTACAGTTTTTTTGTTTGTTTGGTTGGTTGGTTTTTTTTTGAGACGGAGTCTCTCTCTATCACCCAGGCTGGAGTGCAGTGGCGCAATCTCGGCTCACTACAAACCCCGCCTTCCAGGTTCAAGCGATTCTCCTGCCTCAGCCTCCTGAGTAACTGGGATTACAGGCGCCCGCCACCACGCCCGGCTAATTTTTGTATTTTTAGTAGAGACGGAGTTTCACCATGTTGGCCAGGCTGGTCTCGAACTCCTGACCTCAGGTGATCCACCCACCTCGGCCTCCCAAAGTGCTGAGATTACTGGCGAGAGCCAACAGTTTTCTTATTCAAAAGATACCAAGTACTGTAATTTCACTCTTTATAGATGAGTCAGGTTCTTGCTAGATCACCCTATATGCGTCAACACATCCAGCAGCAGCCACTGAGTTATGAGAACAAACTTCTGTTTGAGGCAGGATGTCTGTGCCCTCTGCCCGAGTTCTGCTCACCCTCTCTGTCTCCTTCCTTGTGCCACTACCTGCTCTGTGGCAGCCCATGTTCCTGCCTTGAATGGTACCTACCCTCTCCCCCGCCCCATCACAATTTGCTGCGAATAAAGTTTTCTTAGTATGTGTGGTTAAAAAGAGTAAATTGTTACTGAGAAAATCCCTTCATTCCTCATTCAGGACGTGAAATGCTGGGGCTTTGAGCACTGGGCTGATGAGCAGGGCTTTGTCCAATTCCTTCTGATTTCTCTGCTGAGATCCAGAGCAGGTTCTGCCAAGGTGTGGAGCTCCTATTGCAAGTCCAAGCGCTGCCTGGCCAGGCCAGAATCGTGGAGCCCAGCGCTCTCTCCCCAGGCTCCGGCCACAGCCTCTGAATTCTCAGCATGGTGCCCAGCAGCCGTCCCAGGAGCAGCCACTGGAGCAGGCGGCCTTCAGTCCTCACCCAGGCTTTCCGCAGCTGTTCACGCGAGGTCCTTTCGGGCACCTTGTGCCTGAGCTAGTGGAGCTCCTGAGAGGCTGCTTTCAGGGACAGAGAATGGCCATGTCCTCTGTTTGTGAAATGCTCTGCAGCTTACAGGATATTTTTGCTATTCTGTCTTATTTAATCACCTTGAAACCCTGTAAAATGGTCTCTCTTATGGGAGAAATGTGGAAGAATAAACTAAATGGCTCAGAATTGCATGCCAATGGGTGAACCTGTGTTGCTTTAAGGTTCTCTGACCTAAGTGTTTTAAACCTTTCTACCTGTTACCTTGTTTTGAAATATATTTCACTATAAGAAGAAAGAGATCTGAGGCAAACTTCAGCTCAGCCCTCATAATCTAAGCTAGGGGCTTCTTAAGGAGTGACGTGCAGGAGGAGGTGGATTGCTCTGTGACCAGCCCAGGTCCAGACACTGGAAATCCTGCCCCATCGCCTAGAAGTGAGAGACCACAGGCCAAACTGGCTTTCCGCTGAGTCCGGGAGTTAACCGGGTCCTTCTCCAAGGCTTCGGTGCATTCCCAGCTCACTTCAGCACTTGTAAGAGAATTAAATCACTTAAAGAGAATTAAACAGAAAACCCAAATGGCTGGCCTGCAGAGTTTCAGAATCTGGTTTTCAGAAGCCATTGCTTGGTGGCCCCCGTTGAGCCCAGCGCTCAGCTTCTGCGCCACGGAGCAGCTGGAATCAGGGCAGGTTCTTGCCGCTGGAGCCCTCAGAGCTCTTGGCCTGGTGTGCTCTTGGACACTGAGCGACTGCAGGGTTGCCAGGCACCACGAGAAGGGACTGAAAAGGGCCCCACCGAGCCCTCCATGGGGGAATGCGATGCCCCTTCCAGATTTTAAGGAGATCCAGGGATTTCTTACTCTTTGGGTGCTGCATTTCGGCATGCTAAAAATAATTATTGCTATCGTTTTTCACCTTTTTAGTACTTCTCTGTGTTTTTAAAATCAAGATGCCCCTGTTGCCTCTGCCAGTTCTCAGTGGCCTTAGATATCGCTGGTGTGAGTGGAGCTGTGTGAGCTGAGGTGGTTTGTCTCTGCCAAAAAAATCACCCTCTTGTCACTCAGAGACTCAGGCTCCAGTTCCTGTGGTCACCACGAGGCTGTGCATGACCATGAGTGTGTCGGGCTGACGTGGAACAGAGGCGTGGGGGCTTGAGTCAGGGCAGAGGGTGCTCCGCAGAGGTGCCAGCTCATAAACACCTCCTGGGGCAGGGCGTGGAGGCCCCAGTGAGGCGACGTGGCGATCTCAGAGTCAAGTGCAGCAGTGACCTTTAGAACTTTCCATGAAACATGACACAGTATTTTGCAACCGGCAGGAGAGCTCTGGCAAATATGTGCTAAGGCGTGTTGCTGCTCCCCGGCGCGGAGGGGACCCGTGCCCTCTTGCATAATGAGATGTGGTTTGGAACGCAGCCGTGCAGGGGACTGGGTGCTTTGCAGGTATGGCCTCGTGATCCGCAAAGGTTCAGGATGAGCGGGAAGTTTTTGAGTAGTGCATCCTCACCTGCTTCTGCAGCCGTCCACCCATGGAGCAGAGGCAGCCTGGCTCTTGATGGCCCCCTGATGAGGAACCAGCAGAGCCAGTGTCGACCCCCACAATCCCACAAGCTGCCCACGGATCCTGGGCAAATCACTGAGCACCTCTGAACTTCTGGGTTTTTGAAAAATGTTATTTCTTGAACTGAATAGTCATGGCTGGCCTCCCTACCACACAGCATGGTTGAGAAGAATGTAGGAAACTGCTGCGGGCAAAGTCTCCCAGCTCTGTACAGCCGCAGGGTGTGGGTGACTAGGGTTCCCCCTGCCCTGCTCTGCTGGTGGATCTCTCGGTCGGCCGGGCTGATTCTGCCTGCGCGGTGCTCCCAGGCCTCAGCAGCCCTGCCCTGGGAAGTGCCAGTCTCATGAATGAATGGAGGCGCATGGAGGGAGGGTGGTTACACGGAGTCTCAGTGACTTTTCTCTCATATGGGTCCCCAGTGACAGCTTCAAGGAGACTATTTGCAGCTTCACATAACATGCAAAGTGGCTTTGATGAGACGGAAAGCTTGGGGTCTTTTCAAAAATTTGGTTTTGATATAATTGGAAGTCCAGAGATAGGGTGGGCTTCAAGGGGCTTGATCCTGTAGGTATTCACAGGCTACCTGGAGTAGGAGGCAGCTCGGCCTGATGACGCCCTCGGCTCTCAGATGCCCACTGCAGTGGTGGGGTGGGGGACAAGTGGAGGCTAGGCACCAACCATGGTGTCTACAACGGAGACCCAGAGTCCCATTCACCAGGCGATAAGGCTGGGGTGGGGCTCCAACCTGCAGCCTGGACCAGCACCACGTTAGTGGGACAACATGTGCCACATGTCCTGGCACTTCCCCGATGCCGTGGGAACGTGGCCCCGGGGCACCGGCTGAGAACCTCCAGCAATTAAAGGGTTTACTCGCATGTTTTGGGTCACCGGAGTCTGGGGGTGGGGGTTACATATCAGAGCCACAGGAGCGCCATTGTGTCTCTTGTGGAAGGGTGGTCGCCTTCACGCCACTTATCCTCATGTGCAGGAAGCAGGGGTGACCGTGCTCCATCTTCGAGCCCATCTGCAGTTCCCCTGACCTCTCCTTCCTCATCTCTCTCGCCCCCAGCTCTGCTGTGTAGTGCACAGTCTGGCTGTGGAATGTTTTGCAGCATCCAGATGTGGGGGGGCTGGCACACCTGGTAAAATCCAAGTATTAGAGTGAACGGGACCTAGTGCCATGGCCTCCCGCAGCCCAGCCCTGGCTGGCCAAGCCTGGAGCCCTGCCGAGGGCAGAGGAGCAGTCAGCACAGCCTCCCTGGCTCCAGAACAGCCACAAAAGCGTCCTCCAGGAACAGGACATGCTGCTCCCAGGGATGCCGAGCATGGAGCAGCAGCTGGCTTGCTGTTCCCTGACCCATCATGCTGCTCCTGAGTCTCGTGGAGGAACTCAGTAATCGCTCCTTTTCTTTCTTCTGCGGGTGAGATACCTGTCATCGGGGAGCTTTCAGTCTAGCTGGGGAGAAAATTAAACCAAAAGCCAGAAAACAATGAAGCATGCTAACAGTATGAAATGCCTTGTGGTAGTATTCTTCCACACTGTTTTCTTTTTCGAGTTGTCAAAGGTAGGTTTGTAGTCAGAAATCTAAAAGAACAGCCACCAGAAGACACACGTAAAGAACACACGTTGAATGAGCTGAGCTCTGATTTCACTCCCTCCCAGATCTTATAAACCTAGTGTCAGAATGGTGACCTGGAAGCCTTGGCCACACAGCACGGGGCACTGCTAAGAGATAAAGGCATCTGCCACCCGAATTACCTGGTCCCGTGCCAGGCTTTGGGTTGCAGCACCAGCCAGGGGTGTGAGTTTTAAACTGTGATCCAAAAAGGCCCTGGCCCTTTAAAAATACATTAGAAAATACGGTTCCTATTTGGGAGCCATTCTTTCCTTCCTTTTTCAGCCCCTCCCTTTAAAAAAGAATTCTGAGTGTGAAAAGCATTCTGTTAGAAGGAACTCTGAGCAGGGTCACAGTTGTGGCAGGGAGTTTCCCCTCTATTCATGTGGGATCATCGACTGGCGGAAACAGAAGAGGGGAAGGTTTGGTGTCCCCATCCGCCTGTGAGTGGTCAACTTTCCCCCGCCCACGTATGCTGAAGAAGGGTCCTCAGCCCCTGCCCTGCAATGGGAAGGCGCCATCTCTCCCAACGCATCAGCGTTCATCTCTAATCGTGGGATCCAAAGCTTTGTCCCTCATGTAAGGAATTTCAGGCATGTGTGAGTCAAACAGAAAGACCCCAGCAGTGAGGAGTTTTTTGTGCCCCACCTCTGTGCTCAGCCACCTAGAAGTGGCCTCGGGGAGGAAGCAGCCGGCTTTGTGCTTCCAGAGTACGGTGTACCCACAAGGCAGGTCAGCTTGTTGTAGCCTCCTGACTCGTCTGGTCTGTGTTGCGAGGTGGCTTTAATGCAAATAAGGACTTTTTATTTTATTTTATTTTTTTTTTTTTTGTGAGATGTAATCTTACTCTGTTGCACAGGCTGGAGTGCAGTGGCACAATCTCGGTTCACTGCAACCTCCGCCTCCCGGGTTCAAGTGATTCTCCTGCCTCAGCCTCTCGAGTAGCGGGGACTACAGGTGCGCACCATCACGCCCAGCTAATTTTTGTATTTTTGGTAGAGACGGGGTTTCACCATGTTGGCCAGGATGGTCTCAATCTCTTGACCTTGATCCACCCGCCTCAGCCTCCCAAAGTGCTGGGATTACAGGCGTGAGCCACAGTCAGGATTTTTAAACATGCTTCTTCTTTTGCCTTTAAATTTCCCAGCCTAAAATGAAAAATCAGGATGTAGAGAGAAATTCTTTTCCAAATCCCTTCAGTCCACAGCGGTCCTCTGGAGTCCTATGGGATTCAGGCTAGGGTATTGAATGGCTGCTGAATTTTCCTGTGCACATGGATGAGAAAGTATGGTATGGTGGAAGGATGTGAATTTGGGAATCGGGTCCACATGAGGGGACAAGTCCATCTTCTCTCAACTTACCAGCTGTGCCATCCAGGTCAAACTACTTCTCTGACCCTCAGTTATTCAATTTCAATGAAATGTTAATTATACCTGCCCTGCTCATGTGTGGGAAGGATGAAATAAAATAATAACTGTAAGGTGACCAGCACCCCAGCTGGCATATGGTAGGCATTCAGTAAATGTTATTATGTTACAAATAAAATATGGTTCTTAGAGGACAGGAATTTCTCCGAATTATTTGTAGCACCTCATCCCTTCAATCAACAACTGCCCTGCACGCTTACTAGAGGTTTAATAACTACCTGTTGAATGAATGACCATTTAAACTCAAGCACGGAAACGTCAGGCCTGCCTAAGTTGCTGGTTATTTTCCACACAAATTTCAATACATTTACCTCAGTCACTAAACTTTGAAATGTTCTTTTTTTTTTTTTTTTTGAGACAGAGTTTTGCTTTTGTTGCCCAGGCTGGAGTGCAATGGCATGATCTCGGCTCATCGCAACCTCTGCCTCCTGGTTCAAGCGATTCTCCTGCCTCAGCCTCCCTAATAGCTGGGGTTACAGGCATGCACCACCATGCCCAGCTAATTTTATTTTTAGTAGAGATGGGTTTTCACCATGTTGGTCAGGCTGGTCTTGAACTCCCGACCTCAGGTGATCCACCTGCCTCGGCCTCCCAAAATGCTGGGATTATAGGTGTGAGCCACTGCGCCCGGCCTTGAAATGTTCTTTCTGTCCGTTGTATTATGTAGTGTAAGAATAGTACACTGGCTGAAACAAAACCTTTTCATTTTCCTTTTAATCAAATCTGCCTCTTTCTTATTGGGATACTTGTTCAGGTCTTTTCCTAAAGATGTTTTGCTTTGTTACTTTTATTTTATTTTGTTTTATTTTATTTTTTGAGACAGGGTCTCACTCAGTTGCCCAGGCTGATGTGCAGTGGCAGGATCATGGCTCACTAGAGCCTGGACCTCCCGGGCTCAAGCAATCCTCCCGCCTCAGCCTCCCAAAGTGCTGGGATTACAGGTGTGAGCCACCGCACCAGGTGTTATTTTATTTTTAAATCGAGAAAACAATTTTTGTTAGAAGCTGATTTTTAAAAAGAAAAAAAGACATCTAAACATGAAACTCCTAAACTTACCTACTTCCAGAATTTAATCACAGTTAAGTTTGGGCTACCATATTTAACAGCAGAAATAATCCATCAGTATATCAGGGGACCTAGCTGGCGGTAGATTTCGCGGCTTGTTTGGGAAGGCTGGGGTCCCCTCCGGCATTGATTTGGCCTGGCCTGGGTTCCCCCCTCTTCTTCACACCCTCCAACCCTGAAGGCCCATCTCAAGTTCCCCTTCTCCGGGCAGGGCCACACGGGCCTTCTCCTCTCCTTCCTTTGTGCTGACGACACTTGCAGCCACGGCTCACATACTCACGGCTTTTTCATGCAGTTAGCATTGTTTATCTTTGTCTCCAGCTCATTTGCAAAGTCACTGAGAGCAAGACCTATTTTGTGTGTTCATTCATGCATCCTTGCTACAAATATCTGATCCCCGTATCTATCAGTCAGTCCCAGCAGGAGAAAGGAGGCACACTGAACTTTTTGGATCACTGGAGGAGAATTGAATAAAGACACTACTTTCAAAGGTGTGGGCAGGCTGCCAGGAACCCCCTAGGACTGGTGCAGTAACTCGGGTTCGTATCAGCAGGGCTGCTGCCACTGCTGTGCCTGAAGGATGAAGGAGAGGGTCCCTGACCCAAGACAGAGGTCTGAGGGAGGGTTTCTCTGAGAGGAGCTGAATTCTTCCCTTGGGAGATGACACAGCAAGGCCAGAGCAACCCTGCAGGGATGTAGGGAGCTATGAAAGCCTCAACTCCTCCCTCCTTCGGGCGTCTGCTGTGCCCACTGTTGGCTGCAGCTAACCAGCAGCCCGGGAGGAGGAGCCTGGCCAGGTAGTCCCTCCAGTCGGCTCCATCAGGGAGCAGGGGCAGCTGGAGGGACCGCAGGCGTTCAGGGTGACTGTCCGGTGCCTCCCAAAGCAGGTGCCTTGCTGTAGGCTTGGGAGATCCTCACAACGGGTGAGGCCTGGGCCCCTATCTTTTTGGGGTTCCCAGTCTTCTCTGTGGTAAGGGCGACATTCACATATAGAATAGAAGAGCTAAAATCTTTCAAAGGAGAGAAAAGTCCCCTCTTTGGGGAGTGATGAGGGAGGGCTCACTTGGGGGAAGGCACGGTCTCTGGATTGGGCCGTAAGGGTTTCATGGGGTTTCAGCAGGCAGAGCTGAAAACCACGGGCTTAGGAGGCAGGGCAAATGGTGTAAGCGAAAGCAGGTAGGTTAGAAAATTCCAGCCGGGTGTGGTGGCTCACACCTGTAATCCCAGCATGTTGGGAGGCCAAGGCGGGTGGATCACTTGAAGCCAGGAGTTCGAGACCAGCCTGGGCAACATGGCGAAACCCCCGTCTCTACGAAAAATACAAAAATTGCCTGGGTGTGGTGGTGTGCACCTGTAGTCCCAGCCACTTGTGAGGCTGAGGTGGGAGGATCATTTGAGCCCAGGAGGCGGAGGCTGCAGTGAGCTGAGATTGTGCCATTGCACTCCAGCCTGGGCAACAAGAGCAAAACTCTGTCTCAATAAATAAAAATAGATAAATAAATAAATAAATAAATAAATAAATAAAGGCTGGGTCATGCCTTATAGGACTCCCTGACCTTACAACATTCAGCACAGCACCAAGTAGACAGTTGTTACTCAGTCAATTTGGTAGAAATTGCATGAGAAAAGTTGAGACCATAGTTTCTTGATCGGCTAAGCAATGGTATGACTATGAGGTCATTCTAGACAGAGATGGGTCAGGTCCCCTAGGCAGGAAGAGCACACTTACACATCTTTAATAGGTCAGGTCCAATCACGTGAGCAGTTGCTCTACCAGTCGATGGGATCTGAAATGCTAGAACCAGCTCCAGCTACACCGGAGCCATGCCGGGGCCGAGCAGGCTTCTTGGGAGCTGGTGTGTGTCCCCTGCAGATGGAGGCTACCGAGACCAGCTCAGCTGGGGAGACCCGAACCCGGTTGGCTTCTGTGGATGGAGGCCCCATGGGAGTGGCAGATCTGGGGTGGGAGCTGAGCTTCCAGGGTTTCATCTCACGGGGATAGAATGGAAGACTTCCCTTGGCCCTCCTTCCTGTTGCCCTAGCCTGGAGCCATCTTTATCTCATCAGGCATCTGCAGTGACTGGGCCAACAACTCCAGTGGTACTAGAGGAATTAAAGACACACACACAGAAATATAGAGGTGTGAAGTGGGAAATCAGGGGTCTCACAGCCTTCAGAGCTGAGAGCCCCAACAGAGATTTACCCACATATTTATTAACAGCAAACCAATAATTAGCATTGTTTCTATAGTTATTAAATTAACTAAAAGCATCCCTTAAGGGAAACAAAGGGATGGGCCGAATTAAAGGAATAGGTTGGGCTAGTTAACTGCAGCAGGAGCATGTCCTTAAAGCACAGATCGCTCATGCTATTGTTTGTGGCTTAAGAATGCCTTTAAGCGGTTTTCCGCCCTGGGCAGGCCAGGTGTTCCTTGCCCTCATTTCCGTAAACCCACAACCTTCCAGCTTGTGCGTTAGGGCCATTATGAACATGTCACAGTGCTGCAGAGATTTTGTTTATGGCCAGTTTTGGGGCCAGTTTATGGCCAGATTTTGGGGGGCTTGCTCCCAACAGAGGCCCCATGGCAGTGGCAGATCTGGGCATCTCTGGCTTCTGTGGATGGAGGCCCCGTGTGAGTGGCAGATCTGGGCATCTCTGGCTTCTGTGGATGGAGGCCCCGTGGGAATGGCAGATCTGGGCATCTCTGGCTTCTGTGGATGGAGGCCCCGTGGGAGTGGCAGATCTGGGCATCTCTGGCTTCTGTGGATGGAGGCCCCGTGGGAGTGGCAGATCTGGGCATCTCTGGCTTCTGTGGATGGAGGCCCCGTGGGAGTGGCAGATCTGGGCATCTCTGGCTTCTGTGGATGGAGGCCCCGTGGGAGTGGCAGATCTGGGCATCTCTGGCTTCTGTGGATGGAGGCCCCGTGGGAGTGGCACATCTGGGCATCTCTGGCTTCTGTGGATGGAGGCCCCGTGGGAGTGGCAGATCTGGGCATCTCTGGCTTCTGTGGATGGAGGCCCCGTGGGAGTGGCAGATCTGGGCATCTCTGGCTTCTGTGGATGGAGGCCCCATGGGAATGGCAGATCTGGGGTGGGAGCTGAGCTTCCAGGGTTTCATCTCATGGGGATAGAATGGAAGACTTCCCTTGCCCTCCTTCCTGTTGCCCGAGTGTGGAGCCATCTTTATCTCATCAGGCATCTGCAGTGACTGGGCCAACAACTCCAGTGGCACTGAGCTCTGTAAATGAAAGAGGTGAGAGAAAAGGCATGAAAAGCAGCCCAACCCAAGTTGGGAGGCTGGACCTGTGGTTCCTGAGGAGGCCTGGGCTCCAGTGGCAAGCTGCTGGGGCGCTTCCACCCCACACTCCATCCCCTTGTTTTCGGACGAGCCGTAGATAATAACAATTCCGCTGAAGAAACTGATGGCGTTGCAGTTTTGGGAGGTTATCCCACCCTAGTGGGCGGCCAGAAGAACCCAGGCTACTAATCTTTAGCTCGGGGGTTATTTAACTGGTCTGACATAGTCTCCTCCTCATGTGCATAGTCATTTGGGAAGAATCAGTTACCATGAGAGGTTCAGACTGTTGGAACTAGGCTAAATCTCTCTTTTTTTTTTTTTAATAGAGATGGGGGTCTCACTGTGTTGCCCTGGCTGGTCTTGAACTCCTAGGCTCAAGCCATCCTCCCACCTCAGCCTCCCAAAGTGCTGAGATTACAGGCGTGAGCCACCGTGCCTGGCCCTAGACTAAATCCTAAAATGACCTGGTCTTGTCTTAGTTCACTAAGGGGGAAACTGAGGTTCAGAAATGGGAAGTAACTTTCTGATGGTCACAAAGCTGGTTAGTAGCAAAGCAGGTAACTTTAGTGAGGCTATCAGACAAAAAGTCAAGGATTTTTTTTCTATCTTTTGCTTCCAAAGTTTGTTTTATTGGTTGCAAAACATATACAAATTATAAATGTTTTAGGTTTTACTTGATCAGCGGTTTGGCTTAGGAGTCAAGGAGATTAGAACTCCAGTCCTGGTTCTACCATTGGCGACAGGATCTTGGGGAAGTCACCTCCCTGTCCTGAGCCTGTTTCCCCATCTGTCATAGAAGGGAGTTGGACTAGATCTCTCTAAAATCTCTTCCAGCTCTGTCATGCTGCAATTCTCAGCAAGTCCAGAGCTCAAATTACGCATTTGCCGAAGACCTTCCGTTAAATTCCAGTCGGGGAGCTGTATCCCCTCCTTGAAGACGGCATTGCTGCTTTCATTGAGTGGAACCGTGAGCCAGGGTAGATTCAGCAATTTCCAGCCCAGGGACTTGTGTGGCTTCTCCACCCGGCAGCAGCCGGAGCCTTCTGACCCCGTGGGGCCCTGGAACCCATGAATCAAAATAGTTGTGTGATGTCATGTCACAATGGGAATGTGCTCTGGCCAATTGGTGCCAAGAATTGTCTGCCCAGGGTGGTTTCCTTTTACAGTCTGTTTAAAGAGACATCATGCACGGCTGCACATGACTTGCAGGCTTGTGCCTCCTTTGCCTATCTGGTCTTCCCTCCTTTTTTTAATTTTAAGGAGAAAAAAAAAAAAAAAAAAAGCCCTGGAGAGTATCAGTGAGCAGCTGACCTTAACTACATCAACAAATCCCCTGCGAAGTTCTGTTTGCGCTTCCGGCAGCTTCTTGCTACTTAAGGACAGCCGGGCTGACGCTCCAGCTGCTGTGGCCGGAGGTGCAGCCCCGTCAGGACGGCTCCACTCCCTGGCGCCTCACAGACTCTGGGGCTGCGGTGAGGTCGCCCTGAAGACCCCCTGGTGAGGACGCTTGAACCCGGGCTGTCACCTGAGCACAGGCTGCCACTCTGAGCTTTTGGGGCGCCCTGTGCCTGTCGGGCTGATGCTCCTCTGGCTCCCGGCCACCTGGGGCTGACACCGGTTCTGTGGGTCCTGATATGTTCACCTGTCGCCACTCCTGTGGCCACAGCTACCCATGAAGCGCTTTGGGAGCCTCAGGAGCAACAAGAAACACAAGGACCAAAATCGAAGCACGGAGAGGCGCCAGTCGGAGCCTCATGGCCTTTTCGGTAGGACTCTGCCCATTCCCGAGCCCCTGGTGGTCTGTCCTTGGGAGGGAACCCCACGGCGTGTGTGCACACCCTCCTAAGCAGTAGCTGTTTCCAGCCACTCTCTTCCAACTGGGATATAACATCAGGCGGTGGTTAGAGGAATACGTGGGAAGTGTTTCCTTGCTGATGGCAGTGCTGCTGTGGGGAGCCGCCTGACAATACTCTTTCTGAAGCTGTTTCCTTTCTTGCCCCACCTGGCCCAGGGAGGCTAGTGATGGATTGGATTGTCATTCATTTATGCAAAAACTGTGGCTCAGGGGAAAAGTAAGAGTGGATGGGCACTGTTGTTTTCAGCTGTTAAAAATGAAACATGCAGTTTAGAGGAAACTATTGGAGGTCAGGAAGAGAGAGGTCTTCTTCCCAGGTTCCGTAGCGGAGTAATCTGACAGATCGTGGGCTAATGTGGGAGGGGAAACACCTGCCTAATTTGTGCCCCATGAGGAGAAGCTTGCATTGTGGTCTCCCTGGTCTCTGGCAACTTCTGCAGCTCCTCCATGTACAGGAGGATGGGGTCAGGGCAAGTGGAACAGGTGGTGAAGCATCTGTGGTTCAGTATTTTCAAGGACCTGCAGACTTGGAGTGGGTTTTGCCCTTGTCTGTCTGCAGCCACACAGGTCGATTCCAAAGCTTTCTTAGCTCCACACCTGGTTAAGACCTGCCCACTCAAAATTAGATGTCAGATTTCATTTATTAAGAATCAGAGGCCGGGCGCGGTGGCTCATGCCTGTAATCCCAGCACTTTGGGAGACCAAAACAGGCGGATCACCTGAGGTCAGGAGTTCGAGACCAGCCTGGCCAACATGGTGAAACCCTGTCTCTACTAAAAATACAAAAAATTAGCTGGGCGTGGTGGCGTGCGCATATAGTCCCAGCTACTCGGGAGGCTAAGACAGGAGAATCGCTTGAACCCAGGAGGCAGAGGTTGCAGTGAGCCCAGGTCACACCACTGCACTTCAGCCTGGGCGACAGAGCAAGACTCTGCCTCAAAAAAAAAAAAAAAAAAAAAAAAGAATCAGATTTAGGCTGGGCCTATAATCCCAGGACTTTGGGAGGCCAAGGAGGAAGGATCACTTGAACCCAGGAGTTTGAGACAAGCCTGGGCAACATAATGAGACCTTCTCTCTACAAAAAAATTTAAAAGTTAGCCGAGCATGGTGGCACATGCCTGTAGTCCCAGCTACTCAGGAGGCTGAGATGGGAGGCTCCCTTGAGCCCAGGAGGTCGAGGCTACAGTTAGTTGTGATTGGGCCACTACACTCCAGCCTGGGTGACAAAGCTAGACCCTATCTAAAAAAACAAATCAGAGTCAGCGCATTGCCAGCGTTACTGCTTGCATGGCATAGGTTATTCCTGAAGAGCCCACTGCAAGATGGAACAGCAGGACCCCTACCCCAGTGCTGTTATTTATCAGCTGAGTTTCACCAGGGCTGGGGAGACACAGCCTAGGGGATGAGTAAAATGAGGAGCCTGGGGGGTGTATGAAGCCATGTCCCCTGACCGGAATGTGATGTGTTAAGTGGAAAAATATTGTCATTATGTGTAACAGGGAGGTGACTTTGGCAAAATGTCTGAACTGTAAATGAAAACTGGAAGAGCAGAAAAAGAAAAAGGTAAATCTAAAATCTGCCTGTATTTCTTGCTATATCCGCTTTGGGCAGCTCTCCTGGAAGCGTCTGCAGGCTCAGATTGTGCTGAGTCCTCGGGGGAGAGCAGGTGAAGGAGACAGCAGTCCTTGAACCCAGAGAGTGTTCAATCTTGTGAAGAAGAAAGCCCCATAAAGAGAACTAGAGAGCGGCGTCTAATCGAGTAGAGTTCCAGCTACTCAGGAGGCTAAGGTTGGGGGATCACTTGTAGGTGAATGTAGGCCAGGTGCGGTGGCTCAAGCCTGCATTCCCAGCACTTTGGGAGGTTGAGGTGGGAGGACTGCTTGAGCCTAGGAGTTCGAGACCAGCCTGGGCAACATCATGAGACCCCTCTCTACAAAAAAATAAAAAATTAGCCAGGCATGGTGGTGCACACCCATGGTCCCAGCTACTCAGAAAGCTGAAGTGGGAAGATCGCTTGAGCCTGGGAGGGGAGGCTGCAGTGATCTCTGATCACATCACTGTACTCCAGGCTGGGAGTCAGCGCAAGACCCTCAAAAAAAAAAAAATGGTGACTGTGCACGGGAATAGGACACCCAGCCCTGAGCAGGGAGAGGAGGGATGGAATCCTAGACGGGAGACTCACTAACACGGTCTAAAAAGATGACTTTTATTTAAGTAATAAAGTAATAAACACTTATCTACTGTAGAATTAAACCAGAACCTATTATTAACTAAAAATCTGGTTTTGCTAATGGGGATGGACAGGCCCATTATTAAGAGCCTATTATGTGCCAGACAGTGGCTTCCCGCCTTGTGTTTAACGGTTGGCTGTCATCCTGTCTCCTACGCTTCTGACATCAAAAACAATGTTTACATCTCAACCAAGTTTTGTAAGAGCCTGGATGCAGATGCAAGCTCTGACCACAGGGTCAAGAAAATCGGAGGTCCCTCCAGAGCCTTCCTCTGGAATTTGGGAAACAGCAAGAGGCCATAGCCCCTGCTCAGGCTAAGGCTCCTCTTAGTGGGCTGGAGCCCAGGGACCTGGGTTGATAGTATGTCTGACTTTGGTTAGTGTGTCAGTGAGAAGAGCCAAGAGCTAGGCTGGGTGGGAGGCGGGAGCCCTGTGCCCCACAGACAGTGTTGGGCGTGGATACACTGAGTGAGGAAAAACAGTCCAAGAGTGTTGACCAAGCCCTCCCTCCCAAGCCTGTGCCTGTCTAAACCTTACCCATTTCTCAAGACCCAGCTGAACGATCACTGTCTAGAAAACCACCCTGAGGGCCTGGCACGGTGGCTCACACCTGTAATCCCAGCACTTCAGGAGGCTGAGGCAGGTGGATCACCTGAGGTCAGGAGTTTGAGACCAGCCTGGTCAACATGATGAAACCTTGTCTCTACTAAAAATGCAAAAATTGGCCGGGGGTGTTAGCAGGTGCCTGTAATCCCAGCTGCTCGGGAGGCTGAGACAGGAGAATTGCTGAAACCCGGGAGGAGGAGGTTGCAGTGAGCCAAGATTATGCCATTGCACTCTAGCCTGGGTGACAACAGTGAGACTCCGTCTCAAAGAAAAACCACTCTGGGTGCCTTTTCTGTGATCTGGCTGCTTGTGAACAGGGGCGATATCTCAGGAGCACGGTCTGTAGCTCTAACCCTAGGTCTTGCAGCATCGCAGGTTCTCCATAAAAACCGCTGGCTCTGCGATAGCTGGAAAACGTTCCAGCCCAGGGTTGCTCCCTGTTCTCCAAGAAGGATTGCTTCAGGGTTTTGTGTTTTAAATTCCCTCTCAGCAACGCCCTCTCCTTCATACAGTTATTCCCGGAGATAGAATCTCAGGGCTGGGTTCGGTGGCTCATGCCTGTCATCCCAGCACTTTGGGAGGCGGAGGTACGTGGCTCGTTTGAGTCCAGGAGTTTGGGACCAGCCTGGACAATGTGGTAAAACCCCATCTCTATGAAAAATACAACAATTAGCCAGGCGTGGTGGTGCATGTCGGTAGTCCCAGCTAATTGGAAGGCTGAGTTGGGAGGATTGCTTAAGCCTGGGGAGGTCAAGGCTGCAATGAGCCGTGATCATGCCACTGCACTCCCGCCTGGGTGACAGAACTAGACCCTGTCTCAAAAAAAAAAAAAAAAAAAAAAGCCAGGTGCTGTGGCTCATGCCTGTGATCCAACACTTTGGTAGGTTGAGGCAGGTAGAGGAGTGCTTGAGCCCAGGAGTTTGAGACCAACTTGGGCAACATGGCAAAACTCCTTCTCTACAAAAAATAGTTAGTTGGGTGTGGTTGTGTGCACCTGTAGTCCCAGCTACTGGGGAGGCTAAGGTGGGAGGATCACTTGAGCCCACAAGGCAGAGGTTGAAGTGAGCCAAGATTATACCACTGCACTCCAGCCTGGGAGACAGAGTGAGACACTGTCTCAAAAGACAAACAAAAATCTTAGATGAGGCCTCTTCTCCCTGAGAAAGCTTCTGTGAGGGTCATGAAATCCCTGTCATTGACTTCTCCTCCCTCCTCTCCACAGGAAGCCCACCTAGGCTGTTGGCACAGGTCCCTCCCATCCACTGGGTTTCCTCTGTGGCTGTGTCAGTCTTTTCCAGGAACCACGGGCTCCTCTGCCTTAACTCAGCATGGAGCTGCTTCCCCAGGGACAAGGTGCACACTGTTTATCTGGGGGCTTCCCTGCAGTTCCCCGGGTCAAGAGATACACACTCGCACACACATGTCATGTACCTGTGCGCACACACACACACAGAGCTCTCCCCACAGCCATCAAATCAAGGCCCTGCAGCCCCCGGAATCACCAGGTCCATTCGTAATTGCGGTGGATGGCATTTCCACTGGAAAGCCTGTGGCTGTCGCTGGAAATGTTCACCCGCTGGCCTTGTGACAGAGCCCCCTGGAAGCTCTGACTCAGGAGTGCTCAGCCCTTACCCCTCTCTGGCTGCAGAGCCAGGCAGGGAGGCCATGTCTGGCACAGAAGGGAAGCTCCCCACCTCTCCAGCTTTCAGGCTCCAGGCGCTAGACAAGTGACGAGCTTGGCTAAGCCTTTCTTTCGGCCTCTTTGGCAAAGAGAAATCCAGATTATGTCGACAAAGGGTATGTGGCAACAATAATAAAAATGTAGAGGGAAGATTAGGAAAGGATTATGCTAATCAGATCAAAGAGC